>NC_000024.10:10810479-10816758 GCF_000001405.40 Homo sapiens
CCATTCCACTCCATTCCATTCAACTCCAATCCACCCCACCCCACTCTTCTCCATTCCATTCCACTCCAGTCCACTCCATTGCATTCCGTTCCATTCCATTCCATTCCATTCCAGTGCACTCCTATCCACTCCACTCAACTCCATGATACTCCACTGCGTTTCTTTCGATTCTGTTCCATTCCATTCCATTCCATTCCATTCCACTCCTTTCCATTCCACTTCACTCCATTCCATTTCATTCCATTCCACTGCTTTCCATTCCATTTCACTCTATTCCACTCCATTCCACTCAACTGCAGTGCATTCCACTCCATTCCATTCCACTCCACTCCACTCCTTTCTACTCCCGTCGATTCTATTCCACTCCATTCCATTCAACTCCAAACCACTCCACTCCACTCCATTCTGTTCCATTCCACTCCACTTCACTCCATTCCAATTCATTCCATTCAATTACTCTCCATTCCATTCCATTCCGTTAAAATCCATTCCACTCCATTCCATTCCTTAAAATCCATTCCACTCCATTCCACTGCACTCCATTCCACTCCATTCCATTCCACTCCATTCAATTCTATTGAGTTCTCTTCCATTCCATTGCACTCTGGTGCACTCCATTCAACTCCATTCCACTCTTCTCCTTTCCTTTCCTTTCCTTTCCATTCCATTGCATTCCACTCCAATCCATTCCAATCCATTCCACTCCACTGCATTCCATTCCTCTCCATTCCTTTGCATTTCACTCCATTTCACTTCATTCCCCTCCTCTCCACTCCACTCCACTCCATTCCATTCCATTCCATTACATTCCTCTCACTTCCATTCTATTCCACTCCATTCCATTCAACTCCAATCCACTCCACTCCACTCCATTCCGTTCCACTCCACTCCTTTCCATTCCAATACATTACATTCAATTACTCTCCATTCCATTCCATTCCATTCCACTCCACTCCACTTCATTCCACTACATTCCTTTCCACTCCACTCCACTCCATTTCATAACTTGCAACTCCGTTCCATTCAATTCCCTTATTTTTACTGGATCTCACTTTGTCATCAGATTGAAGTTCATTGGCACAATCTTAGCTCACATTTTATTTCACCATTCCATTTCTTTCCATTCCATTCCACTACATTGCTTTCCATTCCAATGCACTCCGATCCACTCCTCTCAAGTCTGCTCCACTCCCGTCCATTCCATTCCTTTCCACTCCGTTCGATTCCACTACATTCCATTCCATTCCACTCCATTCCACTCCACTGCGTTCCACTCCACTCTACTGAACTCCAAGCTATTCCTTTCCATTCCACTCCTTTCCATGATGTTCCATTCCACTCCATTCCACTCCACTCGATTCCACTCGTACCCAAACAACTCCACTCCTCTCCATTCCACTGCATTCCATTCCACTCCAATTCATTACATTCCATTCTACTCCAATCCATTCCATTCCATTCTTTATTTCGACTGAATCTCACAGTGTCTCCCCAAGTGGAGTGCCATAGCCCGATCTTAGCTCACATTTCATTAACCATTCGATTGCATTCCATTCCATTCCATTCAATTTCGTTCAATTCCATTCCATTGTATTTCATTCCGTTCCATTGCACTCTCTTTCACTGCTCTGAACTACACTCCACTCCGTTTTATTCTTTTCCATCCCGTTCTATTCCATTACATTAAATACCTCTCTACTCCACTCCATTCCATTCCATTCCACCTCATCCCAATCCAATCCACTCCACTTCACTCCATTCCCCTCAACTCCACTCCATTCCATTCCATTCCATTCCATTCCGTTCCATTCCACTCCATTCCATTCCTTTCCAATGCAGACCATTCTATTCCACTCTACTCCATTCCATTCCTTTTTTTTCTATGGGTTCTCATTCTGTCACCAAGATAGGAGTGCGGTGGCCTTCATCAACTATTCCATTCCATTCCATTCCATTCCATTCCATTCCATTCCATTCCATTCCATTCCATGCTGTTGCATTCCCTTCCATTCCGTTGCACTCCGATCCACTCCATTCAAATCCACGCCACTCTTCTCCATTCCGTTCCATTCCGTTCCATTCCATTGTCTTCTATTCCATTCCACTCCACACCATTCCATTCCACTCTATTCTTCTGCATTTCACTGCATTCCACTTCATTCCACCCCACTCCACACCACTACACTCCATTCCATTGCATTCAATTCCCCTTCACTCCAATCTACTCCACTCAACTTCACTACACTCCACTCCATTCCATTGCATTCCATTCTTTACCATTCCACTCTATTCCATTTCACCCTTCTCCATTCTACTCCACTCCATTCCAATCCATTCTTCTCCGTTCCATTCCTTTATTTTGACGGGATCTCACTCTGTCACCCAGACAGGAATGCAGTGGCCCAATGTTAGCTCACATTTCATTTCACCAATCCATTCTATCTCATTGAATACCACACCATTCCATTGCACTCCACTCCATTCCATTCTACTGCACTCCACGCCACTCCTCTCCAATCCATTCCACTCCACTCTACTGCAATCCACTCCACTCCACTGCACTCCACTCCACTCCATTCCATTCCATTTCATTCCACTACTCTCTGATCCACCGCACTCAACTTTACTCCCCTCCACTCCACTGTGTTCCATTCCGTTCCCCACGACTCCATTCCATTCCACTCCACTCCACTACACTCCATTCCATTCCACTCCAGTCCACTCCACTGCATTCAGTTCCATTCCATTCCGTTCCACTGTACTCCGGTCCACTCCACTCAACTCCATGCCACTCCATTCCGTTTCTTTCCATTCCTTTGCATTACATTCCATTCCGATTCATTCCATTCCACTTCACTCCATTCCACTCCATTCCTTTTCACTGCATTCCACTCCTTTCCACTCCATTGCACTTCATTTCTCTCCATTCCATTTCATTCCCCTCCACTCCACTCCATTACATTCCCCTCCATTCTATTCCACTCCACTCCATCACCTCCAATCCACTCCACTCACTCCACTCCATTCTGTTCCACTCCACTCCATTCCAATCCATTCCATTCAATTACTCTGCTTTCCATTCCATTCCATTACACTACATTCCATTCCATTCCACGCCACTCCATTCCACTTCATTCCACTCCATTCCACTTCACTCCACTCCATTCCACTCAATTCCATTGCATTCCACTCCACTCCACTCCATTCGATATCATGCAACTCCGTTTCATTATATTCCTTCATTTCGACTGGATCTCACTTTGTCACCAGACTGAAGTGCAGTGGCGGAATCTTAGCTCACATTTCTATTCACCATTCCATTACATTCCAGTCCATTTCAGTGCATTCCATTCTACAATATTCCATTCAATTCCACTGCACTTCGATCCACTCCACTCAACTGTGCTCCAGTCCATTCCATTCCATTCCATTCCATTCCACTCCATTCGATTACACTACATTCTCTTCCATTCCTTTTCATTTCACTCCACTGTATTCCCCTCCACTCCATTCCACTCCACTCCACTGCACTCCATGCCATTCCTTTCCATTCCACTCCTTTTCATGATTTTCCATTCCACTCCATTCCACTCTATTCCACTCCTCTCGATTCCACTCGAATCCAGTCAACTCCACTCCTCTCAATTCCACTGCATTCCATTCCACTCCAATCCATTACATTCCACTATACTGTATTACATTCTATTACTTTATATCGAGTGATTCTCACTCTGTCACCCATACTGGAGTGCTGTGTCCAATCTTAGCTCACATTTCCTTAACCATTCAATTGCATTCCATTCCATTCCATTCCATTTCATACCATTCCACTGCATTCCATTCCATTCCACTGCATTCCTACCCACTCCACTGAATTCGACTCCACTCCACTCCAGTCCACTGCACTCCATTCTATTCTGTTCCATTCTGTTCCATTCCGTTATGTTCCATTCCACTCCACTCCATTCTATTCCATTCCCATCTATTCCATTCCATTCCATTCCATTCCATTCCATTCCATTCCATTCCATTCCATTCCAATGCACACCATTACATTCCATTCTACTCCATTCCATTCCAGTCTTTTATTTCGACGGGATCTCTCTCTGTCCCCAAGACAGGAGTGCAGTGGCCCAATCTTAGCTCTCATTTCATTAACCATTCCATTCTATTCCATTCCTTTCCTTTGCATTCCTTTCCATTCCATTCTTTTGCATTATCTTCCATTCCACAGCACTCCTATCTACTCCATTCAACTCCACTCCTCTCTTCTCTACTCTGTTCCGTTCCTTTCCACTTCATTCCATTCCATCCCATTCTACTCCATTCCATTCCATTCCATTCCACTCGACTCCATTCCATTCCACTCCATTCCTCTCAATTTCACCCCATTCCACTTCATTCCACTCCACTCCCCTCCACTCCATTCCATTCCACTCCATTCCATTCCCCAGCACTCCAATCCACTGCACTCAACTTCACTCCATGCCACTCCATTCCACTACATTCTATTCTACTCCATTCCACTCCACTCCATTCCATTCCACTCCATTTCACTCCACTTCAATCCATTCCACTCTTCTCTACTCCACTTCATTAGATTCTATTCCACTCCACTCCACTCCACTCCATTCCATTCCATTCCACTCCATTGCATTCCACTCTACTCCATTCCACTCCACTCCTTTCCATTACATTCTATTCCATGCTGTTCCATTCCTTAATTTCGATTGGATCTCACACTGTCACCCAGACTGGAGTGCTGCAGCAAAATCTCAGTTCAAATTTCATTTCACCATTCCATTGCATTCCAATCCATTCCACTCCACTCCACTCCACTGCATTTCATTCCACTCCACTCCACTCCATTCCATTCCATTCCATTTTACTGCACTCCAATCCAATCCACTGAACTCCACTCCACTCCATGGCACTCCACTCCGTTCCTTTCCCTTCTGTTCCACTCCATTCCATTCTACACCATTGCATTCCATTCCTTTATTTTCAGTGGATCTCACTCTGTCACTCAGAATGAATTGCAGTGCCCCAATTTTAGCTCACATTTCATTCACCATTCAATTCCATTCCGTTCCATACAATTCCTTTGAATTCCATTCATTCCACTGAATTCTCATACAGTCCAATCACCTCCACTCCACTCCTCTCTGTTCCATTCCTTTCTGCTCCATTCACTTCCATTCTTTTCCATTCCATTCCACTCCAATGCATTCCATTCCACTCCATTGCACTACAGTCCACTCCAGTCCACTCCACTGCACTCCATTCCATTCCATTCAACTACATTTTGATTCACTCTCTTCAACTTTACTACACTACTCTCCACTCCACCCAAATCCACTCCATTCCCTCCACTCCACTAAAGTCTACTTCATTCAACCGCAGTCCACTCCATTCCATTCCTTTCCATTCCATTCTATTCCATTCCACTCCCCTGCAGTCCTCTCCACTCAATTCCCTTCCATTCCACTACAGTCCCCTCCTTTCCATTCCACAGCACACCAATCCCCTCCACTCAACTCTTCTCCACTCCACTTTGCTCTACTCACTTCTGTTACTTTCCATTCCATTACATTCCATTCTTTCCATTACACCAGTCCATTCCACTGCATTCCATTCCATTCCATTCCATTCCACTGCACTCCGATCCACTCCACTCAACACCATGACACTCCATTCCACTTGAATCCATTACGCTCTGTTCCATACTATTCCATTACATACCATTCCATTCCACTGCACTCCATTCTAGTCCACTCAACTCCATTCCAATCCATTCCACGCAATTCCACTCCATTACTTTCCATTCCATTCCACACCATTCCACTCCATTCCATTCCACCCTATTCCAATCTATTCCACTCCCATCCATTCCACTCCACTCCACTCAATTCCACTCAAGTCCACTCCATTGCATTCCATTCCTTTCCATTTGACTCCACTGCATTCCGATCCACTCCACTCAACTTCAATCCATTCTACTCCACTCCACTCTGTTCCATTTGATTCCATTCCATTCAGTTCCATTCCATTCCATTCCATTCCATTCCATTCCATTCCATTCCATTTCATTCCATTTAACTCGAATCCATTCCATTCTGATCCATTCCATTCCACTCCACTCCACTGTACTCCACTGCATGCCATTCCATTACATTCAATTCCATTCCAATGCATTCTGAGCCACTCCACTCCACTCCACTCCACTCCATTCCATTCCTTTCCCTTCCATTCCGTTCCTTTCCATTCCTTTCCACTGCA
>NC_000024.10:10817292-10852900 GCF_000001405.40 Homo sapiens
TGCTGTGGCACAATCTTAGCTCAGATTTCATTTCACCATTCCATTCCATTCTATTCCATTCCATTCCATTCTATTCCTTTCCATTCAATTCAATTCCATTGCATTCCACACAACTCCACTCAAGTCCAGCCTACTCCACTCCACTTCATCCCACTCCACTCCATTCCTTTCCATTCCACACCACTGCATTCCATTCCATTTCACTCCATTCTAATCCATTCCATTCCATTCCACTGCACTCCGATCCACTCCACTGAAATCGAAACCACTCCACTCCACTACATTCTATTCCATTCCTTTCCGTTATGTTCACTTCCACTCCATTCCTTTCCACTTCATTGCATTCCACTCCATTTCACGCCATTCTACTCCATTCCACTCCAACTCCAGTCGAACCCACTCCATTGCATTCAAATCCATTCCATTCAATTCCACTCCTTTCCATTCCTATCCATTCCACTCCATTCCACTCCACTCCATTCCGTTACAATACATTCCACTACATTCCATTAAAATCCACTCCATTTCATTCCATTCCACTCCAGTCCACTTTATTCCACTCCACTCCATACCACTCCACTCCATTCCTCTTAACTCCACTCCGTTCCTCTCCACTCCACTCCATACCACTCCGTTCCAGTCCACTCCATTCCATTTCATTCCATTCTATTCCATTCCATTGAATTCCTTTATTTCGACAGGATCTCACTCTCTCACCCATACTGGAGTGCAGTAGCACAATCTTAGCTCACATTTCATTTCACTATTTCATTCCTTTCCATTCCTTTGGATTTCATTCCATTCCACTCTATTCTACTTCACTCCACTTCACTCCATTCCATTCCATGCTGTTCCATTCCATTCAGTTCCATTTCATTTCACTGCACTCCAATCCATTCTACTCAACTCCATTACACTCCACCACACTCCACTCTGTTCCTTTCTGTTGTGTTCTGATATGATCCCTTCTATTCCTATCTGTCCCATTCCACTCCACTCCATTCAACTGCAATCCAATCCACTCAACTCCACTACATTCCACTCCACTCCATTCAATTCCACTCCATTCCACTTCACGATACTCTATTCCACTCCACTCCACTCCATTCCATTCCATTCCATTCCATACTACGTGATTCCATTCCATTCCTTTATTTCTACTGGATATCTCTCTGTCACCCATACTGGAGTACATTGGCACAATCTTAACTAATAATTCATTCCACCATTCCATTTCACTTCATTCCATTCCATTCTATTCCACTCCACTGCACTCGCCTCCACTCTACTCCACCACCTGTTACATTCCATTCCACTCCATTCCATTCCATTCCATTTCATGTCATTCCATACCATTCCATTCCATTCCATTCCATTTCACTGCACTCCAATCCACTCCACTCAACTCCACTCCACTCCCTTCCATTCCACTCCACTCCGTTCTATTCCTTTGCTTTCCATTCCATTCCATTCCATTCCGTTCCATTCCTTTCCCTTCTATTCCATTCCATTCCATTCAACTCCACTGAATTCAATTCCACTCCATTCCACTTCATTCCATTCCACTCGTCTCCATTCCCTTCCACTCCATTCCTTTCCATTGCACTCTAATCCACTCCATTCCATTCCATTCCATAACACTCCACTGCATTCAATTCCATTCAACTCCATCCCATTCCATTCCACCCCATTCCATTCCATTCCTCTCCATTCCACACCAATCCACTCCACTCAACCCCAATCCACTCCACTCAACTCCTCTCCATTCCACTCGACTCCACTCCACTCCTCTTTGTTCCATTCCACTCCACTCCATTCCATTCCACCCCATCCCATTCCAAACTACTCCACTCCATTCCACTCCACCATACTCCATACCGTTCCACCTCATTCTACTCCATTCCTTTCCATTCCATCCCATTTCATTCCATTCCACTGAATTCCATTCCACTTCAATCCACTCTACTCAAATCCACTCCAGTCCAATCCACTCCACTCTATTCCATTCCATTCCATTCCTTTTCATTCCTTTCCATTCCATCCCATTCCATTCCATTCAACTCCACTCCATTCCATACCACTACATTAAACTCCATTCCACTCCACTCAACTCTACTCCACTCCACTCCATTGCATTCCATTTCATTCCACTGAACTCCGGTGTAATCGACTCAAATCCACGCCACTCCACTACATTCCATTCTGCTCCGTTCCATTCCGTTCTGTTCCGTTCCATTCCAGTCCAGTCGATTCCATTCCACTCCTCTCCATTCCACTGAACTCCACCCCACCCCTCTCCACTCCATTCTATTTCACTCCAAACCTTTTCATTTCATTCTATATCATTCCATTCCATTCCACTGCAATCCGATCCACTCAACTCAACCCCACGTTATTCCAATCCACTCTACTCCATTCCATTCTACTCTATTCCATTCCACTATACTGCACTCCATTCCATTTCATGGCTTTCCTTTCCCTTCCATTTCACTACACTCCGTCCACTCCACTAAATTCCACTCCACTCCACTCCTTTCCATTCCATTCCATTCTGCACCTTTCCATTAAATTCCTTTCTGTTCCATTCCATTCCTTTTCACTCCACTCAATTACATTCCACTCCATTGCATTCCATTCCACTCTACTCCACTCCGTTGCATTCGGTTCGATTCCGTTCCATTCCACTCCACTCCATTCCGTTCCACTCCACTCAATTCGACTCTGCTCCACCACACCCCTCTCCACTCCATTCCATTTCACTCCAATCATTCTCACTTCATTCCATATCATTAAAATCCATTCCATTGCAATCCAATCCACTACACTAAACTCCATTCTACTGCACTCCTCTCTACTCCATTCCATTATACTCCATTCCATTCCACTACACTACATTCCATTCCATTTCATGGCTTTCCATTCCCTTCCATTTCACTGCACTCCGTCCACTCCACTCAATTCCACTCCACTCTAATCCATTCCTTTCTGTTCCATTACAGTCTTCTCCTTTCCATTAAATTCCATTCCATTCCATTCAATTCCACTTCACTCCACTCAATTCCATTCCACTCCGTTCTATTCCATTCCACTCCACTCCACTCAACTCCATTCCATTTCATTCCATTCCCTCCCAATCCATTCCATTCCACTGTATTCCATTCCATTGCACTCCATTCCACTCCACTCCTTCTCGTTTAATTAAATTACTTTCCACTCCATTCCACTCCACTCCACTCCTCTCCTCTCCATTGTGTTCCACTCCATTCCATTCCATTCTATTTCACTCACTTCCTTTCTGTTCCACTCTAGTCCACTACATTCTACTCCACTGTACTCCACTCCATTCCACTACAATCTGTTCCACTCTACTCCATTCCACTCCACTGCTCTTCATTCCAATCCATTCCTTTCCATTCCACCCCATTCCATTTCATTCAATTCCACTTCATTCCACTCCTTTCCATTCCACTCAAATCCACTCCACTCCATTCCACTCCACTCCACTCCACTCCAGTCCATTCCACTACATACCATTCCACTCCTCTCCATTCCATTCCATTCTATGGCATTTCATTCCATTCCTTTATTTCAACTGGGTATCACTCTGTCACCCAGACTGGAGTTCAGTCCCAAATTTTAGCTCACATTTCATTTCACCACTCCATTCCATTCCATTTCATTCCATTCCATTCCATTCCATTCCCTTCCATTTCATTCTACTTCATTCCACTGCACTTTTATCCTCTACACTCAACTCCAGTCCACTCCACTCGGTTCAATTCCATTCCGTGTCATTCCGTTCTGTTCTGTTCCATTCCACTCCATTCCATTCCACTCCACTCCATTCAACTCCACTCCTCTCGATTCCACTCCTATCCACTCCAATCCACTATACTCCACTCCACTCCATTCCATGCCACTGCATTCCATTCCATTCCTTTATTTCGACTGAATCTCTCTCCGTAACCCTGACTAGGATGCAGTGGCAGAATCTTAGCTAACATTTCATTTCTTCTTTTCATTGCATTACATTTCATTGCATTCCATTCCATTTCATTCCATTCCACTGCAGTCAGATCCATTCCACTCAGTTCCACTCCACTCCACTCAACTCCATTCCAATCCACTCCACTCCATTCCATTACACTCCTTTCCATTCTTTTCCATTCCATTTCACTCCATTCCACTCCAATCCAATCCACTCCACTCCACTCCTCTCCACTGAACTCCTTTCCATTCTGTTCCATTCCATTCCATTTGACTGCACTCCAATCCACTCCAATTTATTCCACACCACTCCAGGCCACTCCACTCCGTTCCATTCCATACTGTTCCATTCCATACCGTTCCATTCTGTTCCGTTCCATTCCACTCCATTCCATTCCACTTCATTCCATTCTACTCCAGTCTCTTTAACTCCATCCCACTCCATTCCACTCCATTCCACTCTACTCCATTCCACCACAATCCACTCCACTCCAATCTGTTCCGATCCCCTCTATTCCATTCTTTTCCATTCCATTTCATTCCGTTTGATTCCATTCCATTCCACTGCACTCCGTTCAATTCCACTCCATTCCACTCCACTCCACTCCACTCCACTCCACTCCACTCCACTCCACTCCATTCCATTCCATTCCATTCCATTCCATTCCTTTCTATTCCATTCCACTCCATTCCATTCCCCTCCATTCTATTCAACTCCACTCCAATTCACTCCACTCTCATTCACTCCCCTCAACTCCACAGCATTCCATTCCAGTGTATTTTATTCCACTCCATTCCACTCAATTTCATTCCATTATATTCCACTCCACTCCATTCCACTCCAATCCATTTCATCCATTACACTCCATTCTACCCCATTCCACTCCATTCCACTCCTCTCCATTCCATTAAATTCCACTCCATTCCATTCTGTTCCATTCCATTCCACTCCGCTCCACTCCACTACATTCCAGTCCACTGCATTCAGCTCCACTCCACTTGATTCCACTGCATTCGTCTATAATCTACTCCATTCCCGTCCTTTCCATTCCATTCCATTCCATTCCACTGCACTCTGATACACTCCACTTGACTCCACACCACCTAACGTCACTGCACACCATTCCATTCCATGCTGTTCCATTCCATTCCGTTCCATTTCACTACATTCAATTCCACTCCCCTCCATTCCACTCCAGTCCATTTCACTCAATTCCCTACAACTCCACTCCTCTCCACTCCACTCCATTCCATGAATTCCATTCCCTTCCATTCCTTTATTTCGACTGAAATCACTCTGTTACCCAGACTGGAGTGCAATGGCACAATCTTAGCTCACATTTCATTTCACCTTTCCTTTCTATTCCTTTCCATTCCATTCCATTCCATTCCATTCCATTCCATTCCATTCCATTGCATTGTGTTCCACTGCACTTCGATTCACTCCACTCAACTCCACTCCACTTCCTTCCCTTCCTGTCCATTCCTTTGCGTTCCATTCCATTCAATTCCATTCCATTGCATTCCACTCAATTCTATTCCAATCCACTACATTTCTCTCCATTCCCCACCATTCCACTCCACGGCACTACATTTCTCTCTACTCCACTTTATTTGATTCCACTCCATTCCACTCCATTCCACCCAATTCCGTTTCTGTCCATCCTGCTCCATTCCACTCCATTCCACTGCAATCCATTCCACACCACTCCAGTCTGTTCCATAAGTTCCATTCCATTGTGTTCCATTCCATTTCTTTCCTTTCAATCCCATTCCACTCCACTCCATTCCATTCCACTCCATTCCATCCACTCCACTCCTTTCCACTCCATTGCACTCCACTCTACTCCATTTCATTCCATTCCACTGCACTCTGATCCATTCCACTTTACTCCTCACCACTCAATGCAACTCCACTCCATTTCTTTCCTTGCCTTTCCTTTCCATACCCTTCCATTCCTTTCCATTCCACTCCTTTCCATTCCACTTCACTCCATTGCACTCCACTCCTGTTAACTCCATTCCAGTCCACTCCACTCTGCTCCACTCCACTCCATGCCACTCCACTAAATTCCATTCCACTACATTCCATTCCATTCCAATTTATTCAATTCCATTCGTTTCCACTCTTTTCCACTCCATCCCCCTCCACTCTATTCCACTCCACTTCATTCCACTCTTCTCCACTCCAGTCCACTCAATTCCATTCCATTCCACTCCACCCCATTCCATTCCATTCTACTCCATTCCACTCCAGTCCAATCCACTCCACTTCATATCACTCTTCTTCAATCCATTCCATTGTATTCCACTCCATTCCATTCCATTCCACTGCACTCCTTCTCATTGCACTATTTCACTCCATTCCACTACTTCCCAATCCAGTCCACTCCATTCCACTGAGATCCCCTCCATTCAATTCCACTCCAATCCACACCATTCCATTCCATTCCATTTCATTCCATTCCATTCCATTACACCCCATTCCATTCCACTCATCTCCAATCCACTCCACTCCACTCCGCTGCATTCCACTCCACTCAAATCCATTCCATTTTATTTTCTTCCACTCCAGTCCAATACATTCATTTCCACTCCATTCCATTCCACTGTACTGCATTCCTTTCCACTCCACTCCACTCAATTCCGTTACATTTCTTTCCTTTCCATTCCATTGCGTTCCATTCCACTCCTCTCCATTCCATTCCCATCGATTCCACTTTATTCCCCTCGATTCCACTCCACTCTGCTGCACTCCACTCTATTCTATTCCATTTCTTTCCATTCCACTGCACTGTGATCCAATCCACTTAACTCAACTCCAATCCGCTCCACTCAAATCCATTCCATTCCACTCCATTCCATTCCATTCCATTCCATTCCATTCCATTCCATTCCATTCCATTCCATTCCATTCCATTCCATTCCATTCCTCTGCACTCAGTTCCACTCCACTCAACTCCAATCCACTCCATTCCTTTCGATTCTGTT
Organism: Homo sapiens; assembly: GCF_000001405.40. Classification (NCBI taxonomy): domain Eukaryota; kingdom Metazoa; phylum Chordata; class Mammalia; order Primates; family Hominidae; genus Homo; species Homo sapiens. The sequence continues at coordinate 10,824,271 of NC_000024.10, forward strand.
CTGTTCCACACCGTTCCATTGCATTCCATTCCACTCCACTGCATTCCATTCTACTCCTTTCCATTCCAATCCATTCTAATCCATTACCCTGCATTCCACTCCTCTCCACTACATTCCACTCCACTCCACTCCGTTGCTTTCCTTTCCTTTCTGTTCAGTTCTGTTCCATTCCATTCCATTCCATTGAGGTCCATTCCACTCCATTGTTCTCCACTCCATTCCTCTCCAGTCCATGCCACTCCACTCCACTCCGATCCACTACATTCAATTCCGTTTCCTTCTTTTCCATTACATTCCACACAATTCCATTCCATTGCATTCCATTGCACTCCCTTTACGTTCCTTTCAACTTCACTCCACTCCACTCAACTCCATTCATTTCCACTCCTATCCCCTCCATTCCACTCCACTCCACTCCATTGCATTTCACTCCACTCCAGTCTATTCCACACCATTCCATTACACTCAATTCCATTCAACTCCATTCCAATCCATTGCATTCCATTCTGCTCCACTCCATTCCATTCCATTCCATTACACTCAATTCCATTCCATTCCTCTCCACTCCACTCCAATCCACTCCACTGAATTCCATTCCATTTTATTTGACTGCAATCCGTTACACTCCACTGAACACTCCACTGTACCTCACTGCATTCCTTTTCGTTCCCTTCCATTCAGTTCGCTTCTATTTCATTCCATTCCATTCCATTCCATTCCACTCTACCTCCTTCCACTCTTCCCCATTTCACTCCATTCCACTCCATTCCACTACTCTCCACTCCAATCCACTCCAATCAATTCCCTTCCACTCCAGTCCATTCCATTCCATTCTATTCCATTCCACACCATTCCACTCAATTAAACTCAACTCCATTCCAGTACACTCAATTCAACTACACCCCACTACATTCCACTCCATTCCATTCCGTTCCACTCCATTCCATTCCATTTCATTCCATTCCATTCCATTCCGTTCCATTCCGTTCCATTCCGTTTCATTGCATTCCATTCCATTCCATTCCATTCCATTCCATTCCATTCCATTCCATTCTAATCCACTCCACTCCATTGCTCTCCACGTCACTTAATTCTATTCCTTTCCATTCCATTTCTTTTCACTGCACTCTGATCCACTCTTTTCATCTCAACTCCACTTCTCTCCACTACACTCCATTCCATTCAGTTTTATTCCATTTTTTTCCATTCCATTCCATTCCATTCCTCTGCACTCCATTCCATTCCCTTCTACTACATTCCATTCCATTCCTTTATTTCGACTGGAACTCAGTCTGTCACTCAGACAGAAGTGCAGTTGCACAAGCTTAGATCAAATTTCTTTCCACAATTCCATTCCATTCCATTCCATTCCTTTCCATTCCGTTCCATTCCATTCCATTCCATTCCATTCCATTCCTTTCTACTCCACTCCACTTTACTCCACTAGACTCCACTCCATTCCTTTCCTTTCCACTGCACTCTGATCCACTCCTCTAAGCTCCACTCCACTTTCTTCCTTTCTTTTACATTCCTTTTCATTCCGTTCCATTAAATTCCTTTCCATTCATTCCATTCCACTCCACTCCATTGCATACCATTGCGTTTTTCTTCATTCCACTCCACTCCACTCCATTCTACTCAACTCTACTACACTAAACTCCACTACATTCCATTCCATTCCATTCCAACCCAGTGCACTCCGATCATCTCCACTCCACTCCACTCCATTCCCTTCTCTTCCATCCCATTCTGCTCCTTTCCACTCCATTCCTTTCCACTCCACTCCCTTCCACTACTCTGAATTTCACTCCTTTAAACTCCATTCCTTTCTCCTCCACCCCACTCCACTCCATTTAATTCTGCTCCATTCCATTCCATTCCACTACATTTCATTCCATTCCATTTCACTCCATTAAACTCCACTCCATTCCACTACACTCCATTCCACTCCACTCCATTCCACACCATTCCATTCCATTCCACTCCATTCCACTCCATTATACTTCACTCCATTCCACTCCGCTCGACTTCATTCCACTGAACTCCATTCCATTCCCGTGTATTCCTGTCCACTCCATTCCACTACATTCTACCCCGTTCCACTCCACTCCATTCCAGTTCACTCCATTCCACTCCAATCTACTTCATTACACTCCTTTCCACTCGAATCCACTCCATTCCATTCCATTCTACTCTGTTCCATTCCATTCCTTTATTTCGAATGGATCTCACTCAGTCACCCCAGACTGGAGTGCAGTTCCACAATCTTAGCTCATATTTCATTTCACCATTCCATTGCATTCCATTCCATTCCATTTCATTCCATTCCATTCTATTGCATTCCTTTCAATTCCTTTCCACTCAGCTCCACTGCACTCTTCTCCACTACGCTCCTTCCTATTAAATTCCATACCAGTCTACTACAATTTTCTCCACTGTACTACATTCCACTCCACTCCACTCCACTCAACTCCACTGCACTTCATTCCATTTCGTTTCATTCCTTTCTGTTCCATTCCATTCCATTCTGTTCCATCCTAAACCAATCCACTCTACTCCATTCCATTCCACTCCATTTCACTCCACACCACTCCACTCCACACCACTCCATTCCATTCCATTCCATTACATTCCACTTCACTCCGATCCACTCCACTCAACTCCACTCCAATCCACTTCGTTCCATTCTGTTCCATGCCTTTGCACTCCATTCCATTCCATTCCACTGCATTCCAGTCCAGTCCATTTCACACCATTCCACTCCATTCCACTCTGCTCCATTCCACTCCACTCCTTTCCATTCCACTGCATTCCATTCCATTCCACTCCACTCCATTCCATTCCACACCATGAATCTCCTTTCCTCTCCACTTCATTTCACTTCACTCCATTCCACTCCACTCCCCTCCACTCCATATCACTCCACTCCTTTCCATTCCATTCCACTCCATTCCACTCCACTCTTTCCACTACACTCCACTCCACTTCTTTCCATTCCATTCTATTCCACTCAATTCTACTCCACATCATTCAACTCCACTCAACTACATTCCACTCCATTCCATTCCATTCCACTTCTTTGCATTCCACTCCTCTCCATTTCACTCTATTCCATTCCACTCCTTTGAATTTCATTGCATTCTACTCCATTCTATTCCGTTCCTCTATTTTGAATGAATCTCACTCTGTCTCCCAGACTGCAGTGTAGTGTCACAATCTTAGCTCACTTTTAATTTCACCATTCCATTCCACTCCATTTCATTTTATTCCACTCCTCTCCACTTCACTACACTCCACTCTACTCCATTCCATTCCATTCCATTCCACTTTATTCTGATCCACTCCACTCAACTCCACTCCAGTCCACTCCACTCCGTTCAGTTCCTTTGCATTCCATTCCATACCATTCCACCCCACGCCACTCCACTCAACTGCACGCCACTCCGCTCTATTGTATTCCATTCCACTGCACTCCAACCCAATCCACTCAACTCCACTCCAGTCCACTCCAATACATTCCTTTCCTTTCTGTTCCCTTCTGTTCCGTTCCTTTCCTCCCCTTTCCATTCCAATCCATTCCGTTGCACTGCACTCTAATTCACTCTATTCCACTCCATTCCGCTCCACTCCACTCCATTCCACTCCATTCCATTCCATTCCAATCCATTCCATTCAATTCCTTTCCACTCCATTCCACTCCCCTCCATTCCAGTCCACTCAACTACATTCCACTCCATTCCATTCCTCAAAACTCCGGTATATTCGACTCTATTCCATTCCTTTCCTTTCCATTATTTCTTCTTCATCTCACTCTGTCACCCCGACTGGGGTGTGGTGGCAGAATCTTAGCCTACATTTCATTACACCAGTCCATTCCATTCCATTCCATTCCATTCCATTCCATTCCATTCCATTCCATAGCATTCCATTCCATTCCATTTCATTCCACCGAACTCCTCTCTACTGCAATCCACTCTACTTCGTTCTGTTCCATTCCATTCCATTCCATTTCCGTCCACTCAACTCCATTCCGTTCCACTCCTTTCGACTCCACTCCTCTCCACTCTGTTCTATTCTGTTCCTTTCCATTACGTTCCATTCCATAGCATTCCACCCCATTCCAATCCACTCCATTTTATTCCACTCCACACATATCACTCAATAAAACTCCACTCCACTCCATTCCAGTCTTCTCCATTGCATCCCATTCCACTTCATTTCATTCAATTTGATTCCACTCATTTCCACTCTATTCTACTGCTCTCCATTCATCACCACTACATTCCACTCCACTCCACTCCTTTCCACTCCATTCCATTCCATTCCACTCCACTTCATTCCTTTGCATTCCACTCCATTCCCCTCCATTCCACTTAACTTTAATCTCTTCCACTCCAATCCACTCCACTCCATTCCATTCCACTCCATTCTATTCCACTGCACTCCATTCCATTTCATTCTACTCCATTCCATTCCATTCCTTTATTTCGACTGGCTCTCAGTCTGTCACCAAGACTTTAGTACAGTGGGACAACATTAGAATACATTTCATTTCACCATTCCATTCCATTCCATTCCATTCCATTCCATTCCATTCCACTCCACTCCATTCCACTCCATTCCTTTCCTTTCCACTGCACTCCGATCCAATCCTCTCACTTCCACTCCTCTCCATTCCACTCCATTCCATTCCGTTCCATTCCATTCTGTTCCATTCCAATCTTTTTCACTCAACTCCTTTCCATTCCACTCCATTCCACTTCACTCCACTCCACTCCAAACCCCTCCACTCCACTCAATTCCTTTCCTTTCCATTCCTCTGCACTCTGGTCCACTCCATTAAGCTCCACTCCACTCTATTCCACTCTGTTCCATTCCATTCAACCCCTATTCACTCCAATGCAACTCATTCCATTCCTCTCCAACCCACCCCAATCCACTCCATTCCACTACACTCCATTCATTCCACTCTGTTCCGTTCAAATCCATTCCATTCCAATCCATTGCACTCCATTCCTCTCCACTCCATTGCACTCCACTCCCCTCCATTCCACTCCACTCCATTCCATTCCTTTCTACTCCATTCCATTCCATTTTACTCTATTCCATTCCAATCCTTTATTTTGACTGGTTCTCTCTCTATCACCCATCTGGAGTTCAGTGGCACAATCTTAGCTCACCTTTCATTTCACGATTCCATTCCATTCCATTCCCTTCCAATCCGTTCTATTCCATTCCATTCCATTCCAGTCCACTGCACTCGTCTCCAATCCATTGATTTCATTTCATTCCAATGCACTCTTATCCACTCCACTCAACTCCACTCCACTGCACTCAACTGCACTCCATTCCATTCCTTACCGTTCCCTTCAATTCCATTCCCTTCCACTCCATTCCTTTCCACTCCTCTCCATTCCACTCCACTCCAATTCACTCCATTACCCTCTATTCGACTCCACTCCACTCCATTCCACTGCATGGCATTCCATTCCACTCCATTTCATTCAATTACTTTCCACTCCATTCTACTCCATTCCACTCCACTCCATTCCACTGCAATCCATTCTAATCCTCTCTACCGCATTCCACTTCATTCCATTCCACTCCACTTCATTTCGTTCTGTTCTTCTAAATTCCTTTCCCCTCCATTCATTTATGTCGACAGGATCTCACTCTTTCACCGAGACTGGATTGCAGTGAAACCATCTTAGCTCACATTTCATTTCACCGTTTCATTCCATTCCATTCCGTTCCACTCCATTCCATTCCACTAAATTCCACTCTATTCCACTGCATTCCACTCCACTGCAGTCCATTGCACTCCATTCCACTCCATTCCATTCAATTCTACTCCAGTTCATTCCATTCCACTCCCTTCTCCTCCATTCCACTACATTTCATTCCACTCCACTCCATTGCACTTCAGTCCACTCTATTCCACTCTATTGCAATCCACTCCACTCCATTCAATTTCAGGATACTCCATTCCTTTCTATTCCCCTATTTCGACTGGATCTCACTCTGTCACCCAGACCGGAGTGCAGTTTCACTATCTTAGGTCACATGTCATTTCCTAATTCCATTCAATTCCATTTAATTCCCTTCCATTACATTCCAATCAACTAAACTCAACTCCAATCCACTCCACTCCACTTCCCTTAATGCTACACCACTCCATTCCATTCAATTTCATTCAATTCCTTTCCACTGCACTGCGATCCACTCCAGTCAACTTCACTCAACTCCACTCCTTTCCATTCCATACAGTAACCTTCCATTCTGTTACATTTCACTCCCTTCCTTTCCAATCCATTCCATTCCTCTCCACTCCAATTCACTCCATTCACCTCCTTTCCACTCCACTCCATTCCATTCCATTGCATTCAACTAAATTCCATTCCATTTTTTCCACTCCATTCCATTCCATTCCACTAAATTCCATTCCAATACTTTCTACTCTACTCCACCACATTCTGCTCCATTCCATTCCACTCTACTCCATTCCATTCAATTCTACTACGTTCCATTTCATTCCATTATTTTATTTCGACTTGGTCTCATCCTTCGTACCAGACTGGAGTGAAGTGGCACAATCTTACCTCACATTTCATTTCACAATTCCATTCCATTCCATTCCATTCCATTCCATTCCATTCCACTAAAATCCTCTCCACTCCACTCCGTTCCATTCCATTCCACTGCACTTCAATCCACTCCACTGAATTCCACTCCACTCCAATTTTTTCCATTCCGTTTTGTTCCTTTCCATTCCATTCCGCTTTTCTCCATTCCATTCCATTCCACTCCATTCTACTCCACTTCACTTCTCTCCACTCCACTCTAGTACTCTACTCTACACTAAACTTCACTCCATTCCATTCCATTCCATTCCACTGCATCCTGATCCTCTCCGCTCAACTTGTCTCCCCTCCACTCCATCCCGTTTCGTTCCGTTACATTTTTTCTTTTCCATTCCATTCTATGCCATCCCATTCCATTCCACTTAATTGCACTCCACTCCAATCCACTCCACTCCACTCCATTGCATTCCACTCCACTCCACTGCACTCCGTTCCACTCTTCTCAACTCTTATCCACTCCACTACACTCTGTTCCATTCCATTCCGTTCCATTTTGTTACATTCCATTCCACTCCATTACATTTCAGTCCACTCCATTGCACTCCACTCCACGCCTTTCCACTCCACTCCATTTCACTCCATTCCACTCCATTCCACTCGACTCCACTGCACTCTGTTACTTTCCGTTCCATTCCATTCCATTCCATTCCATTCCATTCCATTCCATTCCATTCACTTCCATTCCATTCCTCTGCACTCCATTCCACTCCACTCCACTCCTCTCCACTCCCTTCCATTCTGGTACATTCCGTTTGGTTCTGTTCTGTTCCATTCTACTCCATTGCACTGCACTTCACTTTCTTCCAATCTACTGCATTTCACACAAGTCCACTGCATTCCACTCCACTCCACTGCACTTCAAACGACTCTAATCCACTCCATTCCATTTCACTCCACTCCACTCCATTTCACTATGTTGTACTCCATTCCACTCCACTCCATTACATTCCACACCACTCTATTCCATTCCAATCCACTCCATTCTATTCCTTTCCTTTTCATTCCATTTCATTCCATTGCATTCCGTTGCATTCCTTTCTATTCCATTCCCATCCATTTCATTCCATTCCATTCCATTCCACTCCACTCGATTTCATTCCATTCCACTCCATTCCATTTCATTCCTCTGTACTCCATTCCATTCAACTCCACTCCACCCCACTCCAATCCATTCCACTCAACTCCACTACTCTCCACTCCACTCCTCTCCATTCCATTCCATTGGATTCCATTTTATTCTATTCAGTTCCATTCCATTCCACTCCACTCCATTCGATTCAATTTCACTGAACTCCGATCTACTCCACTCCACTCCACTTCACTCCGTTCCCTTCCATTGCTTTCCTTTAACTTTCATTATTTTCCATTCCCTTCCATTCCTTTCCATTTCATTGCACTCCATTCCATTTCACTCCGTTCGTCTCCATTACACACAAATCCACTCAACTTCACTCCACTCCACTCTACTCCATTACATTCCTTTCCATTCCATTCAGTTCCATTCCATTCCACTCCCTTCCATTCCACTCCACTCCATTCCTCTCCACTCCATTTCTCTCCATTCCACTCTATTCAACTACTCTCCATTCCACTCCCCTCCACTCCATTGCAATACACTCCATTCCATTCCCTTCCACTCCATTCCCTTCTATTCCATTCCACTCCATTCCTCTCCACTCCACTCCATTTGACTCCATTCTATTCCACACAACTCCATTCCATTCCATTCTATTCCTTTCTATTCCATTCCATTATTTCGACTGCGTCTCTCTCTGTCACCCACACTGGAATACAGTGGAACAATCTTACCTAACATTTTGTTTCACAATACGCTTCCATTCCATTTCATTCCATTCCACTCCACTCCACTCCATTTCTTTACACTTCTCTCCACCCCACTTCACTCCACTCCACTCAACTACACTCCATTTCATTCCATTGCACTCCAATCCTCTCCAATCCATTCATTTCCACTGAATTCCATTCATTTCCATTCCATTGCCCTGCACTCAGACCCACTCTATGCCACTCCACTGCATTACACCCTGCAACAATCCATTTCATTCCCTTCCATTCCACGCCAATCCATGCCATTCCATTCCATTCCACTCCATTCCTTTCCACTCCACCCCTTTCCATTCCACTCCACTCCACTCCCTTCCATTGCACTCAACTCCATTCCATTCCATTCCATTCCATTCCATTGTATTCCATTCCATTCCATTAAAGTGCACTCAGATCCACTCCACTCGACTCCACTCCACTCCTTTCCATTCCATTCCATACATTCCATATCATTCCAATCCATTCCATTCCATGAAATTCCATTCCAATCCACTCCCTTCCATTCCACTCCATCGAACTCCATTCCTCTCCATTCCACTCCACTGCACTCCTCTCCAATGCACTCCACTCCAATCTACTTTATTCCATTCCATGAAATTCTACTGCACTCCAATCCACTCCACCCAACTCTACTCCACTCGAATCCATTCCACTCCATTCCCTTCCGTTTGTTCCATTCGGTTCCTTTCCATTCCACTCGGTTCTGCTCCATTCCACTCCATTACATTCCACTCAAATCTTTTCCTCTCCACTCCATTTCACTCCATTCCACTCCACTCCACTGCATTCCACTCCACTCCACTCAACTCCTTCCCATTCAGTCCACTTCACTCCATTCCATTCCATTCCATTTCTTTTGACTGCACTCCGAAACACTCCACTCAACTCCACTCCACTGCACTCCATTCTATTCCATTCCATTCCATTCTGTTCTATTATGTTCTATCTCATTCCACTCTGTTTGATTCCACTACACTCCATTCCTATCCTTTCCGTTTCACTCCGTTCCACTCCATACTACTACACTCCACTGCACTCCACTCCAATATACTCCATTCCATTCCATTGTACTCCCATTCCATTCCATTCCAATTCATTCCACTCCACTCCAATGCACTCCACAGCATTCCACTCCACACAATTTCACTCCATCCATTCCACTGAGTTCCATTAATTTTCATTCCACTCTGTTACACTCCTTTCCAATTCATTCCATTCCACTCCACTATATTCCACTCCACTCCATTCCCCTCCATTCCATTCCACCCAACACCATTCTAGTCCATTCTATTCCACTCCAATCCATTCTTTATTTCGACTGGATCTCACTCTTTCACACAGACTGAAGTGCAGTGGCACAATCTTAACTCACATTACATTTCACCATTCAATTGCATTGCATTCCATTTCATTCCATTCCATTCCACTCCACTCCACTCCATTCCATTCCATTCAATTCCATTCCATTGCATTCCATTCCAGAGAACTGCACTCTTCTCCACTCCACTCCATTCCATTCCATTGCATTCAACTCCATTTCCATGGACTCCGATCCACTAAACTCATTTCCACTCCAGTCCATTCCACTCTTCTCCTTTCAATTCTATTCCATTCCATTCGTTTCCATTCCATTCTATTCTGTTTCATTACATTCAATTGCATTCCATTCCATTCCATTCCATTCCATTCCTTCCTATTCCATTCCAATCCATTCCTTTCCAATTCACTCTGTCCTACTCCATTGCATTCCTTTCCACTCCACTACATTCCATTCCATTCCACTGCATTCCATTCCATTCCACACCATTCCATTCTATTCCTTTCCATTTTACTCCACTCCTCTGCAATCCACCCAAATCCTCTCCACTCCAAACCATTCTACTCCACTCCACTCCACACCTCTTCTCTCCATTCTTTTCCAATTTATTCCATTCCACCTTCTTCCATTCCACTTCACTCCATTCCATTTCATTCAATTCCACTGCACTCCCATCAATTCCACTAAACTCCACGGGACTACAATCCACTACACGCCATTTCAGTCCGTTTCTTTCCATTAAATTACATTCCATTGCATTCCACACCACTCCATTCCATTCCACTCCAGTCCACTCCGTTCCACTCCATTCCACTCCACTCCACTCATCTCCACTCCATTGGACTCAATTCCATGCCATTCCCGTCCATTCCATTCCACTGCACTCCATTCCACTCCACTCAACTGTTTTCCACTCCACTCCACTCTACTCTGTTCCATTCCATTCCGTTGCATTCCTATCCGTTCCGTTCCATTCCACTCCACTCCATTTCACTCCCTTGATCTCCACTCCACTCGTCTCCACTCCACTTCATTACATTCTATTCGACTACATTTCATTCCACTAAACTCCATTCCATTTCATTCTATTCTGCACCTTTCCATTCCTTTCCACTCCACTCCATTCCACTCCACACCATTCCACTCCACTCCACTTCACTCAAATCCAATCAATTCCATTCCATTCCTCTGAGTTCCATTAATTTGCATTCCACTCCATTACATTCCTCTGCAGTTCAGTCCTTTCCCCTCCACTCCATTCCACTCCACTTCATTCCACTCCACTCCACTCCATTCCCCTCAATTCCATTCCAACCCACACCATTCTGCTCCATTCTATTCCATTGCATTCATTAATTTGACTGGATCTCACTAGGTCACCCAGACTGGAGTGCAGCAGCACAATCTCTGCTCACATTACATTTCACCATTCCATTCCATTCCATTCCATTCCATTCCATTCCATTCCATTCCATTCCATTGCATTTAATTCCAGTCAACTCCACTCCACTCCATTCCATTCCATTCCATTCAACTCCATTTCCGTGCACTCCTATCCACTGAAATATTTTCCACTCCACTCCATTCCACTCCACTCCTCTCCACTCCAGTACATTCCGGTCCATTCTATTCCATTCTGATCCATTCCATTGCATTCCATTCAATTCCTTTCCATTGCCCTCCACTCCATTTCTTTCCACTCCATTCCGCTCCACTCCATTCCACTCCATTGCATTCCATTCCTTTCCATTCCAGTGCACTGCATTCCACTCCACTTGATTCCACACCATGGCAAGCCACTCCAATTCCTGACATTCTGTGGCGTTCCATTCCATAAATTTCCGTTCAGTTCCTTTCCATTCCACTCCATTCCATTCCTATCCTCTCCATGCTACTGCACTCCCTTAAACTCTATTCCACTCCATTCCATTCCACTTCACTCTACTCCACCGCATTCCATTCCGATATATTCCATTCCATTGTGTTCCATTCCATTCCTCTCTCTTGGATTCCATTCCATTCCACTCCACTCCATTCCATTCCACCTCTTTCTACTCCAATCCACTCCACCCCAATCCACTCCATTCCATTCCGTTCCTTTCCATTCACTTCCTTCCCATTTCACTCCTTTCCATTTGTCTCCAATCAATTCCACCCCACACCATTTCATGCCACATTGATCCACTTCCCTCATATTTACAGCATTCCATTCCAGTCCATTCCATTCCAATCCATTGAAATGCATTTCATTCCATTACATTCAACTCCACTCCATTCCACTCCACTGCGTTTGACTTCATTGCACTCCACTCTTCTTTCCACTCCCTGCCACTCAACTCCTCTCCACTCCACTCAATTCCATTAAACTCCACTGCATTGCATTCCTCTCCATTCCATTCCATTCCATTCCTCTCCACTCCACTCCATTCTATTCCACTCCATTCCAATCGACTCCATTCCATTCCACTCCATTCCACTCCACTCCAATCCACTCCACTCCATTCCACTCAAATCCTTTCCATTCCATTCCATTGCATTCCTTTCCTTTCCATTCCATTCCATTCCATTCATTCCACTGCACTGCGATCCACTCCACTTGACTCCACATCACTGCTAGCCACTCCACTCCACTCCATTCCATTTCGTGCCATTCTCTTCTGTTCCCTTCCATTCCACTCCATTCCATTCCACTCCACTCTATTCCACTCTACTCCATTTCCCACCATTCCCCTCGATTCCACTCACCTCCACTCCACTCCACTGCCCTCCTCTCCACTCCATTCCATTCAGTTCCATTGCATTCCATTCCTTTATTACGACTGAATATCTCCCTTTTAGGCAGACTGGAGTGCAGTGGCACAGTCTTAGCTCACATTTCATTTCACCTTTCTATTCCATTCCATTTCACTCCACTACACTCCATTCCATTCCATTCCATTCAATTCCATTCCAGTCCATTCCATTCCTTTCCTCTGCACTCCCAACCACTCCACTCAACTCCAATCCACTCCACTCCACTCCCTTCCGTTCCGCTCCATTCCGTTTCATTCTCTTCCATTCCATTCCATTCCATTTCATTCCACTCCACTCCATTCCAATCCACTAGATTTCTCTCCATTCCTCTCCATTCCATTAAGCTTCACTCCATTCCACTCCACTCAATTTCATTCCTCTACATTCCACTACATTCCACTCGATTCCATTCCTCTCCATTCCACACCATTTCACTCCACTCCATTCCACTCCACTCCACTCCACTCCAGTCCTTTCCCATCCATTCGATTCCATTCTGTTCCATGCCATTGCATTCTGTTCAGTTCCATTCTATTTCCCTCAACGCCATTCCATTCCACTCCATTCCAATGCACTCCACTCCATTCCACTATACTCCACTCTTCTCCACTACACTCCACTCCAGTTCATTTCACTCTTCTACACTCCTCTCCTTTCCATTCCATTCTGATCCATTCCACTCCTATCCATTCCACTGCACTCCTTTTCAATCCACTGTGATACACTACCCTCAACTCCACAACATTCGTTTACATTCCATTCCATTCCACTCCATTTCATTTCCACTTCATTCCACTGTACTGAATTGCACTCCACTTCGTTTCACTCCATTGTACTCCATGCTACTCCATTCTAGTTCTCTTCATTCTATTCCACTCCATTCCATTAAACTCCACTCCATTATATTCCACTCAATTCCATTCCATTCCATTCCCTTCCAATCCATTCCATTCCATTCCATTCCATTCCATTCCATTCCATTCCATTCCATTCCATTCCTTTGTCCCATCCAGTCTATTCAACTCCACTGCACTGCACTCCACCCCAATCCCCTCCATTGCATACCATTTCATTCCATTCCATACCAATCCATTCCACTCCTATCCATTCCACTCCAGTCCATTTCAATCCACTGTGATACACTACCCTCAAATCCACAGCATTCCTCTCCATTCCATTTAATTCCACTCCATTTCATTTCCACTTCATTCCACTCTGCTGCATTGCACTCCACTCCGTTTCACTCCATTACACTCCATTCTACTCCATTCGAGCCCACTCCACTCTATTCCACTCCATTCCATTAAACTCTACTCCATTACATTCCACTCAATTCCATTCCATTCCATTCCATTCCATTTGTCTGCACTCCCATCCACTCTATTCAACTCCAATCCACTCTACTCCACTCCACCCCAATCCCCTCCATTCCATTCCATTTAATTCCATTCCATTCCACTCCATTCCATTCCACTCCTATCCATTCCTCTCCACTCCATTTCACTCCACTGTTATACTCTACCTTCAACTCCCCAGTATTCCATTACATTCTATTCCATTCCTTTCCTTTCTATTAAACTCCTTTCTGCTCCATTTCATTCCACGAAATTCTAATCGGTTCCATTCCACTCCACTCCCTGTTACTCCATTGCATTCCATTCTACTCCATTCGACTGCACTCCACTCCACTCCTTTCCGTTAAACTCCTCTCCATTCCGTTGCACTCCATTCCATCCCAGTCCACTCCAATCGACTCCATTCCATTCCACTCCATTCCAATGCACTCCACTCCATTCCACTACACTCCACTCTTCTCCACTCCACTCCACTCCATTTCATTTCACTCCTCTCCACTCCACTCCTTTCCATTCCATTCTGTTCCTTTCCACTCCTATCCTTTCTACTGCACTCCTTTTCAATCCATTGTGATACACTACCCTCAACTCCACAACATTCCTTTCCATTCCATGCCATTCCACTCCATTCCACTCCATTTCATTTCCACTTCATCCTACTCCACTGCATTGCTCTCCACTTCGTTTCACTCCATTGCACTCCATTCTACTCCATTCGAGTCTACTTCATTCTATTCCACTCCATTCCATTAAACTCCACTCCATTATATTCCACTCAATTCCATTCCATTCCATTCCCTTCCATTCCATTCCATTCCATTCCATTCCATTCCATTCCATTCCATTCCATTCCTCTGTCCCATCCACTCTATTCAACTCCACTGCACTCCACTCCACCCCAATCCCCTCCATTCCATTCCATTTCATTCCATTCCATTCCACTCCTATCCATTCCACTCCATTCCATTTCACTCCACTGTTATACACTACCATCAAATACCCAGAATTCCATTCCATTCTATTATTTTCCTTTCCGTTCCACTCCTTTCCAATCCATTTCATTCCACTAAATTCCAATCCTTACCGTTCCACTCCACTCCGTGTCACTCCTTTGCACTCCATTGTACTCCATTCGACTCCACTCCATTCCACTCCATTCCATTATACTCCACTCCATTTCGTTGCACTCCATTCCATTCCAGTACACTCTAATCCACTCCATTCCGTTCCACTCCATTCCAATACACTTCATTCCATTCCACTTCACTCCACTCTTCTCCTCTACACTCTACTCTGGTTCATTTCACTCCTCTCCACTATACTCCACTGCTTTCCATTCCATTCCATTCCATTCCATTCCATTCCATTCCATTCCACTGCACTATAATCCACTCCACTTGAATCCACAACACTCCACACCACTCCACTCCATTCCATTCCATGCCATTCCTTTCCATACCGTTCCATTCCATTTTGTTCCATTCTACTCCATTCGATTCCCCTCCACTCCCTTCAACTCCATTCCATTCCATTCCAGTCCATTCCACTCCACTCCATACCACTCCACTCCATTCCACTCCAGTCCGTTCCCGTCCATTGCATTCCATTCTGTTCCATTCCATTGCATTCTGTTCAAATCCATTCCACTCCCCTCCACTCCATTCCATTCCACTCCATTCCACTCCTTTGCACTCCACTCCATTCTACTCCATTCCATTCCATTCCATTTCATTCCATTCCATTACACTCCATTCCACTCCATTCTATTCCACTCCATTCCATTCCACTCCTATCCATTCCACTCCATTCCATTCCACTCCTATCCATTCCACTCCACTCCATTCCAATCCACTGTCATACACTACCCATAAATCCACAGCTTTCCATTCCATCCATTCAAATCCGCTCCATTCCACTCCATTTCATTTCCACTACATTCCACTTCACTGCATTGCACTCCACTCCGTTTCACTCCACTGCACTCCATTCTACTTCATTCGACTCCAGGCCACTCTACTCCTCTCCATTCCATTAAACTCCACTCCATTACATTTCACTCAATTCCATTCCATTCCTGTCCATTCCATTCCATTCCAGTCCTCTGAACTCCCATCCACTCTATTCAATTCCACTACACCCCAATCCAATCCATTCCATTCCTTTTCATTAAATTCCATTCCACTCCATTCCATTCCACTCCTATCCATTCCACTCCACTCCATTTCACTCCACTGTGATACACTACCCTCATCTCCACAGCATTCCTTTCCATTCCATTCCATTCCTTTCTATTCCACTCCATTTCATACCACTAAATTCCAATCTTCTCCATTCCACTCCACTCCGTTTCACTCCATTGCACTCCCTTCTACTCCATTTGACTCCACTCCGCTCCATTCCATTAAACTCCACTCCATTCCGTTTCAATCCTTTCCATCCCATTCCATTCCAGTCCACTCCAATCCACTCCATTCCATTCCACTACATTCCAATGCACTCCACTCCATTCCACTCCACTCTTCTCCACTACACTCCACTCCAGTTCATTTCACTCCTCTCCACTCCACTCCACTCCTTTCCATTCCATTCTGTTCCATTCCATTTGATTCCTTTCCATTCCAATCCATTCCATTCTATTCCATTCCACTGCACTTCAGTCCACACCACTTTACGCCACAACACTCCACAGCACTCAACTCCATTCCGTTCCGTGCCGTTTCGTTAAATAGCATTCCATTCC
Source organism: Homo sapiens (assembly GCF_000001405.40). Taxonomy (NCBI): domain Eukaryota; kingdom Metazoa; phylum Chordata; class Mammalia; order Primates; family Hominidae; genus Homo; species Homo sapiens. The sequence goes on from NC_000024.10 coordinate 10,840,963, forward strand.
ATTTTGTTCCATTCCACTCCCTTCCATTCCACTCAACTCCCTTTAACTCCATTCCATTCCATTCCATTCCATTCCATTCCATTCCATTCCATTCCATTCCATTCCACCCCATTCAACTCCACTCCACTCCAATCCATTCCATTCCATTCTGTTCCATTGCATTCCATTGCTTTCGATTCCTTCACATTCTACTCCACTGCATTCCATTCCACTTCATTCCACTGCACTCCACTCCATCCCAATCCATTCCATTCCATTCCACTCCTTTCCATTCCTCTCAACTCCATTCAAATCCACTCCATTTCACTCCACTCTGATCCACTCCCGTCAACTCCACCACATTCCATTCCACTCCATTTCACTCCATTTCATTCCTTTACATTCTACTACACTCCATTCCACTGCAGTCCATTTTACTCCCTTGCACTCCATTCTACTCGATTCCACTCCACTCCACTGCATTCCAATCCATTCCATTTAATTCCACTCCTTTCCATTTCCCTCAATTCCATTCCTTTCTATTTCATTCCACTCCACTCCACTCCATTCCACTCCATTCCAATCCATTCCCCTCCATTTCACTACATTCCACTCCACAACACTCCAGTCCACTCCACTGTATTCCCTTCCATTCCATTCCACTCCACTTCACTCTGATCCACTCCTGTTGACTCCACAACATTCCATGAAACTTCACTGCATACCAATCCCGGCTGTTCTATTCTGTTCTGTTCCATTCCACTCCATTCAATTCCACTCCACTTTTTATCAATCCACGCCATTTCACTCCATTCCCCTCTATTCCCCTCCTCTCATATCCAATCCACTCCACTATACTCCACTCCATTTCATTCCTTTCAGCTCCATTCCATTCCATTCCTTTATTTCGAATGAATCTCACTCTGTTACCCAGACTGGAGTGCAGTGTCACAATATTAGTTCACACTTCATTTCACCTTTCCATTTCATTCCATTCCATTCCATTCCATTCCATTCCATTCCATTCCATTTCATTCCATTCCATTCCATTCCACTCCATTCCATTCCATTGCACTCCGATCCGATATAGTCCACTCCACTCCACTCCATTCCATTAAAATTCCCTCCATTGCTTTCCATTCCATTTCATTCCATTCCATTCCAATCCACTCCACTCTATTCTTTTCCACTCCATTCCCCTCCAGTGCTCTCCACTCCACTCAGCTCCTTTACGTTCCATTCTATTCCACTGCACTCTGTTCCACTCCACTTGGCTCCACACCACTGTCCGTCACTCCACTCCATTCCATTCAATGCCATTCCCTTCCATTCCATTCCATTCTACTCCACTGCATTCCCGTCCACTCCCTTCCATTCCACTCCACTCCATTTCACTCCATTACCCTCTAATTCATCCCCTCCACCCCATTCCACTGCCCTCCACTCCACTCAATTACATTCAGCTCCATTCCATTCCATTCCTTTATTACGACCGAATCTCTCCCTTCCACGCAGACTGGAGTGCGGTGGCACAATCTTAGCTCTCATTTCATTTCACAATTCCATTCCATTCCATTCCATTCCATTCCATTCCATTCCATTCCATTCCATTCCATTCCTCTGCACTCCCATCCACTCTACTCAACTCCAATCCACTCCACTCCATTCCCTTCCATTCTACTCCATTCCGTTTCATTTTCTTCCATTCCATTCCATTCCATTGCATTCCACTCCACTCCATTCCAATCCACTAGATTTCTCTCCGTTCCTCTCCATTCCATTGAACTTCACTCCATTCCACTCCACTCAATTTCATTCCACTACATTCCACTTCATTCCATTCCACTCCATTCCTCACCATTCTACTCCACTCCATTCGACTCCACTCCACTCCAGTCCATTCCCATCCATTCTATTCCATTCTGTTCCACTCCATTGCATTCTCTTCAGTTCCATTCCATTCCCCTCAACTCCATTCCATTCCACTCCATTCTACTCCTCTGCACTCCACTCCACTCTACTCCATTCTATTCCATTCCATTTCATTCCATTCAATTCCAATCCATTCCACTCCATTCCATTCCACTCCTATCCATTCCACTCCACTCTATTTCAATCCACTGTGATACACTACCCTCAAATCCACAGCATTCCTTTCCGTTCCATTCCATTCCACTCCATTCCACTCCATTTCATTTCCACTTCATTCGACTCTGCTGCATTTCACTCCACTCCGTTTCACTCCATTACAACCCATTCTACTCCATTCGAGTCCACTCCACTCTATTCCACTCCATTCCATTAAAATCCACTCCATTCCATTCCACTTAATTCCATTCGTTTCCATTCCGTTCCATTCCATTCCATTCCTCTGCATTCCCATCCGCTATATTCAACACCACTCCACTCCACTTCACCCCAATCCCCTCCATTCCATTCCATTTCATTTCCTTCCATTCCACTCCATTCCACTCCATTCCATTCCACTCCTATCCGTTCCACTCCACTCCATTTCACTCCATTGTTATACACTACTCTCAACTCCCCAGAATTCCATTCCATTCTATTCCATTCCTTTCCTTTCCATTCCACTCCATTTCACTCCATTTCATTCCACTAAATTGCAATCCATTCCATTCCACTCCACTCCGTGTCATTCCGTTGCATTCCATTCTACTCCATTCGACTCTACTCCACTCTACTCCATTCCATTAAACTCCACTCCATTCCATTGCACTCCATTCCATTCCAGTCCACTCCAATCCACTCCATTCCATTCCACTCATTCCAATGCACTCCACTCCATTCCACTCCACTCCACTCCTCCACTCCACTCCAGTTCATTTAAATCCTCTCCACTCCACTCCACTCCTTTCCATTCCATTCTCTTCCATTCCATTACATTCAATTCCATACCATACCATTCCATTCCACTGCATTCTAAAATACTCCACTTGTCTCCACAACACTCCACGCCACTCCACTCCATTCCATTCCGTGCCATTCCATTTCATACCTTTCCATTCCATTTTGATCCGTTCCAATCCATTCGATTCCACTCCACTATATTCTAATCCACTCCTTTTAACTCCATTCCATTCCATTCCAGTCCATTCCTCTCCAATCCATTCCACTCCACTCCATTCCACTCCTGTCCATTCCCATCCATTCCATTCTGTTGCATTGTGTTCAATTCCATTCCATTCCTCTCCACTCCATTCCATTCCACTACATTCCACTCCTTTGCACTCCACTCTACTCCACTCTACTCCATTCCATTCCATTCCATTCCATTCCATTCCAGTCCATTCCACTCCATTCCATTCCACTCCTATCCGTTCCACTCCACTCCATTTCAATCCACTGTTATAAGCTACCCTCAAATCCACAGCATTCCATTCTATCCATTGCATTCCACTCCGTTGCACTCCATTTCATTTCTACTACATTCCACTCCACTGCATTGCACTCCACTCCGTTTCACTCCATTGCACTCCATTCTACTCCATTCGACTCCACTCCACTCTACTCCTCTCCATTCCATTGAACTCCTCTCCATTCCATTCCACTCAATTTCATTCCATTCCAGTCCATTCCTCTACACTCCCATCCACTCTATTCAACTCCACTCCACTCCACCGCAATCCAATCCATTCCATTCCATTTCATTAAATTCCATTCCACTCCATTCCACTCCATTCCATTCCATTCCACTCCACTCCATTTCACTCCACTGTGATACACTACCCTCAACTCCACAGCATTGCTTTCCATTCCATTCCTTTCCTTTCCATTCCACTCCATTCCACTCCACTCCATTCCCATCCACTCCATTCCACTCCAGTCCATTCCAATCCGTTCCATTCCATTGTATTCCATTCCATTCCGTTCGATTCCATTCCATTATATTCCACTCCATTCCATTCCACTCCACTCCACTCCAATCCATTCCATTCCATTCCACTCCTTTCCATTCCTCGCAACTCCATTCAACTCCACTCCATTTCACTCCACTCTGATCCACTCCCATCAACTCCACCACATTGCCTTTCAGTCCATTACATTCCACTCCATTCCACTCCATTTCATTCCTTTTTATTCTACTACACTCCATTCCACTCCAGTCCATTTCACTCCATTGCACTCCATTCTACTCAATTCCACAGCACTCCACTGCATTCCAATCCATTCCATTTAATTCCACTCCTTTCCATTCCCCTCAGTTCCATTTCTTTCCATTTCCTTCCACTCCATTCCACTCCACTCCACTTCACTCCATTCCATTCAATTCCCCTCCATTTCACCCCGTTCCACTCCATAACACTCCACTCTACTCCAACTTATTGCATTCTATTCAATTCCTCTCCACTTCACTCTGATCTGCTCCTCTTGACTCCACAACACTCCAAGCCACTCCACTCCATACCATTCCCTGCCGTTGCATTCTGTTCTGTTCCATTCCACTCCATTCAATTCCAGTCCACTTTTTTATCACTCCACGCCATTTCACTCCATTCCCCTCGATTCCACTCCTCTCTAATCCACTCCAGTCCACTATACTCCACTCTATTTTATTCCTTTCAGCTGCATTTCATTCCATTCCTTTATTTCGAATGAATCTTACTCTGTCATCCAGACTGGAGTGCAGTGGCACAATCTTAGCTCACGTTTCATTTCACCTTTCCATTCCATTCCATTCCTTTCCATTCCATTCCATTCCATTCCCTTCCATTCCATTCCATTCCATTCCATTCCATTCCATTCCCTTCCATTCCATTCCATTCCATTCCATTATATTCCATTCCTTTCCACTCCATTCCATTCAATTCCTTTCCATTCCATTCCTTTACTTTCCATTGCACTGCACTCCGATCCAATCCACTTCACTCCACACCACTCCACGCCAATCCACTTCCTTCTGTTCCGTGCCATTTCGTTCCATAACCTTCCGTTCCGTTCCGTTCCATTTCACGCCATTCCATTCCACTCCATTCCATTCTACTCCACTGCCTTAAACTCCATTACAATCCATTCCACTCCACTCCTTTCGACACCACTCCACTTCAGTCCGTTCAGATCCGTTCCACTCCATTCTGTTCCATTCCAGTCCATTCCATTCCATTCCACTCCATTCCACTCCTTTCCACTCCACTTCACTTCACTCAATTCCATTTGATTACAACCCATTCTATTCCATTTTACTCCATTCCACTCCATTCGATTCCTCTCTTCTCCATTCCACTCAACTCCATTTCATTCCAATTTTATCCACTCCCTTCAAATACACAGTATTCCCTTCCCTTCCATTCCATTTCATTCCACTCCATTCCACTCGATTTCACTTCATTACCTTCCACCCCACTCCTTTCCACACCACTCCATTTTTCTCCATTGCACTCCTTTCTTCTCCATTCCACTGCACTCCAATCCACTCCACTCCATTCAGTTAAATTCCATTCCACTCCACTCCACTTCATTTCATTCCACTACATTCCACGCTACTACACTCAATTCCATTTGATTCCACTCCACTGGACTCCACTCATCTCCTTTCCATTCCATTCCATTCCATTCCATTCCGTTCCATTCTATTACATTCCATTCCACTGCACTCCGATGCACTCCACTTGACTCCACACCACTCCACCCCACTCCACTGCAGTGCGTTCCACGCATTTCTGTTCCATTCCTTTCCATTCCACTCCATTTCATTCCACTCCACTCCATTCCACTCCACTCCATTTCACTCGTTTCCCGTCGATTCCACTACTGTCTACTCCACTCCGCTGCAAACCACTCCACTCCATTCCATTCAGTTCCATTCTATTCCATTTCTTAATTTCGACTGAATCTGACTCTGTCACCCAGACTGGAGTGCAGTGGCACAATCTTAGCTCACATTCCATTTCACCTTTCCATTCCATTTCATTCCACTCCTCTCCATTCCATTCCTTTTCATTCCATTCCACTCCATTCCACTGCACTCCGATCCACTCCACTCAACTCCCCTCCACTTCACTCCACTCAAATCCATTCCATTCCACTCTACTCCATTCTAATCCACTAGATTTCTCACCATTTCACTCTATTCCACTCCACTCCACTGCACTTCACTCCACTCCACTCCATTCCATTCCACTCCATTCCACTCCATTCCATTCCACTCCATTCCTATCCATTCCACTTCACTCCACTCCATTCCAGCCCGTTCTGGTACTTTCCATTCCATTGTGTTCCATTCCATTGCATTCCCTTTGATTACATTCCTTTAAACTCCACTCTATTTCTTTACACGCCATTTCACTCCACTCCACTCACCTCCACTCCATTTAATTCCATTCAATTCCATTCCATACCATACTTTCCATTCCATTCCATATCTTTCCATTCCATTCCGCTCCATTCCACTCCATTCCATCCTACTCCAATCCATTCCAATCCACTCTACTTCACTCCACTCTGAAAAATTCCCCTCAACGCCACAGGATTCCAATCCATTCCATTCCATTCCACTCCACTCCATTCCGTTTCACTCCATTGCTCTCCATTCTACTCCATTCCACTCCACTCCACTCCTCTCCATTCCATTAAACTCCATTCCATTCCTTTCCCCTCCTTTCCTTTCCATTCCATTCCATTCCACTCCACTCAACTCCAGTCTTTTCCACTCCATTTCACTCCACTCCACTCCACTAGTTTCCATTCCATTCCATTCCATTATACATTACTCCAATCCACTCCACTTGACTCCACACCACTCCTCACCGTTCCACTCCATTCGCATCCGTGCCATTCCATTCCATACCTTTACGTTCCATTCTGTTCAATTCCACTCCATTCCATTCTCCTTCCCTCCATTCTACTCCATTCCCTTTAACTCCATTCCACTCCATTCCATTCCACTCCGTTCCCCTCCACTCCACTCCACTCCAGTCCATTTTGATCTGTTTCATTCCATTCTGTTCCATTCCATTCCATTCTGTTTATTTCCTTTCCATTCCATTCCACTCCATTCCACTCCACTCTTCTCCATTCCACTCCATTCTACTGCACTCCACTCCAATCTGCTCCACTCCACTCCTTTCCATTCCATTCCATTTCATTGCATTCCATTCCATTCCATTCCATTCCGTTCCATTCCATTCCATTCCATTCCACAGCACTCCTATCCCCTCCACTTGACTCCACACCAGTCCATGCCACTCCACTGTATTTCATTCCATGACATTCGGTTCCATATCGTTCTGTTCCATTCCGTTCCAATCCACTCCATTCCATTGCACTCCAATCCATTCTCCTCCACTTCATTTAATTCCATTCCACTCCATTCCACCTCATTAGACTCCACGCCACTCCACTATATTCCATTCCATTCCGTTCCACTCCATTCAATTCCATTCCATTTCACGGCACTCCACTCCATTTCACTCTACTGCAATCCACTCCACTTCATTCCACTCTTCTCCACTCCAGCCCCCTCCATTCTATTCTTCTCCACTCCATTCCATTCCTTTCCAATTCACTCAATTCATCTCCATTCCACTAAATGCCATTCCTGTGCATTACATTCCACTCCAATCCACCTCACTCCACTACATTTCACTCCATTCTCCTCCATTACAATCCTCGACATTCCATTCCAGTCAACTCCCCTCCTTTCCATTCAGCTCCAGTCCACATCATTGCTTTCCTTTCCATTTCATTCCATTCCGTTCCATTCCATTCCATTCCATTTCACTCGATGCCATTCCATTCCACTCTGCTCCATTGCATTAAACTAAACTCCACTTCACTCCACTCCACTCCACTCAATTCCATTGCATTCCATTCACTTCCACTCCACTCCAGTCCATTTCATTCCACTGCATTCCATTCCATTGTATTGTATTCCTTTCCATTCCAATCAAATCCACTCCTCTCCACTCTGTTTTGTTCCATTCCATTCCGTTCCATCCCATTCCATTCCTTTCCACTCCACTCTATTCTATTCCACTCCATTCCACTCCATTTCACTCCATTCCACTCCACTCCATTCCGTTTCATTGCTTTCCATCCAACTGCACTCTGATCCTCTCCACTCAACTCCACTCCAGTCCACTCCACTACACTCCATGCCATTCCATTGCACTCCTTTCCCCTCTATTCGAGTACACTCCACTCCTCTCCATTCCATCCACTCCATTCCACTCCATTACACTCCACTCCATTCCACTCCACTGCTCTCCATTCCCATCCATTCTTTTCCATTCCACTGTATTCCATTCCATTCCATTCCATTCCATTCTACTCCATTACAATCTATTCCACTCCACTCCATTCCACTCCAATCCATTCGACTCCCACCCAATCCATTCCACTCCATTGCACTCCATTCCATTCCTCTCAACTTCATTCCATTCCATTCTACCCTATTCCCTTCCATTCCTTTATTTTAACTGGATATCGCTGGGTCTCCTAGACTGGAGTGCAGTGGCACAATTTTAGCTCACATTTGCTTTTACCATTCCATTGCACTCTGATCCAATACAGTCTACTCCACTCCACTCCACTTTTTTACATTCTGTTCAGTTCCATTTCATTTTGTTCCATTCCATTACACTCCATTCCATTCTGCTACACTCTTTTCAACTCCACTCCGTTTCACACCATTTCCCTCCATCCCACTCCACTCTACTACACTACACTACACTACACAACACTACACTACACTACACTACACTACACTACACTACACTACACTACACTACACTACACTACACTACATTCCATTCTGCTCCATTTTGTTCCATTCCTTTATTTCGACTGAATCTCACTCTGTCACCCAGACTGGAGTGCAGTGGCCCAATCTTATCTCACATTTCTTTTTATCTTTACATTTCATTCCATTCCATTCCATTCCATTCCATTCCATTCCACTCCTTTCCATTCCCCTGCACTCTGATCCACTACACTGAAATCCACTACACTGCTCACCACTACACTCCTTTCCATTCTGTTCCATTCCCATCCGTTCCGTTACATTCCACATTACTGAATTCCATTCCACTCCACTGCTCTCCTATCCAATTAACTCCATTCCACTCCATTCCACCCCACTCCACTCCATTCCACGCATGACATTCTATTCCACTCTATTCCATTCCATTCAACTCAATTGCACTCCTTTCCACTCCACTCCTTTCCACTCCACTCCGATCCATTTACCTCCATTCAATTCCACTCCACTTTATTCCTTTCCATTCTACTCCATTCCATTCTATTACTTTATTTCGGTTGGATCTCACTCTGTCACCCGGACACAATTGCATTGGCATAATTATAGTTCAAATTTCGTTTCATCATTTCTTTGCATTCCATTCCATTCCATTCCAATCCACTCCACTCCATTCCTTTCCTTTCCCCTGTACTCTGATCCACTCCTCTAAACTCCAGTCCACTCCACTCTGTTCCTTTGTGTTCCATTTCATTCCATTCCATTAAATTCTTTCTGTTCTGTTCCATTCCACTCCACTCAATTCCATTCCACTCCACTCAATTCCATTCCACTCCATTCTTCTTCATTCCACTACACTCCACTCTACTCCATTCTACTCCACTCTACTGCACTAAAGTCCATTCCATTCCATTCCATTCCATTCCATTCCATTCCATTCCATTCCATTCCATTCCATTCCATTGCTATCCGGTCCATTCCACTAAACTCCACTCCACTCTACTCCATTCCTATTTGTTCTGTTCCTTTCCATTCCATTCCACTCCACTCCATTCCACTATGCTGCATTTCACTCCATTCCATTCCATTCCACTCCTCTCCACTCAACTCCACTAAACTTCACTTCTTTCCACTCCAGTGCATTCCACTCCACTCCACACCATTCCACACCATTCCATTCCATTCCAATCCATTCTATTCCATTCAATTCCTCTCCATTCCACTCCATTTAACTCCACTATATTCTTCTCCACTCCGCTCCATTCCACTGCATTCCATTCAATTCCAGACATCTCCATTCCATTCTATTCCTCTCCAGTCCACTCCGTTCCACTCCTGTCAAATCCACTCCACTCCATTGCACTCCAATCCACTCCATTCCACTCCATTCCATTTCACTCCACTCCATTCCATTCCATTCTACTCCATTCTATTCCATTCCTTTATTTTGAATGGTTCTCACTCTGTCACTGCAGACTGGAATGCAGTTGCACAATCTTAGCTCAGATTTCATTTTAGCATTCCACTGCATTCCATTCCATTCCATTCCTTTCTATTGTTTTGCATTCCATTCAATTCCATTCCCCTCAGCTCAACTGCGCTGCTCTCCATACCACTCCTTTCCATTAAATTCCATACCACTCCACTCCTTTGCACTCCACTCCATTCCAATCAACTCCACTCCATTCAACTCCAATCCACTCAAATCCACTCCATTCCACGCCACTGCACTTCATTCTATTATGTTCCATTCCTTTCCGTTCCTTTCCTTTCCATTCCTTTGCTTTCCATTCCATTCCACTCTATTCCATTCCATTCCACTCCACTCCAATCCACACCACAATACTGCATTCCATTCCATTTCATTCCATTCCACCTCACTCCAATCCCCTCCACTCAACTCCAGTCCACTATACTCTGTTCCATTCCATTCTGTTCCATTCCGTTCCATGCCATTCCTCTCCATTCCTTTCCACTCCATTCCACTCCAATCTATTTCACAAAATTCCACTCCATTCCACTCTGCTCCACTCAACTCCACTCCTTTTCATTCCATTCCATTCCATTCCATTCCCCTCTATTCCATTCCATTCCACTCCAAGCTACTACATTTCATTCCAGTCCACTCCACTCCATTCCACCCCACTGAACTCCTTTCCATTCCATTCCATTCCATTCCATTCCATTCCATTCCATTCCGTTCCACTACACTCCAATCCACTGCAGTCAATTGTGTTCCACTCCATTCCATTCAATTTTTTTCCACTCCCATCCACTCCATTCAACTCCACTCCATTACACTCCACTCCACTCCACTCCATTCCATTCCACTCCATTCCGTTCCACTCCTTTCCTGTCCACTCCATTCCACTCCATTCCACTGCACTCCATTCCACTTCACTCGTCTCCTTTCCACTCCAATCGATTCCGCTCCATTGCATTCCACTCAACTCCATTCCATTCCATTGTATTCCATTCGTTCCATTCTTCCATTTTGAGAGGATCTCACTCTGTCTTCCAGACTGGATTGCAGTGGCTAAATCTTAGCTCACATTTCATTTCACCATTCCATTCCATTCCATTTCATTCCATTCGACTCCACTTCACTTCACTCCACTCCAATCCACTGCACTCCATTCCACTCTAATCCATTCCATTCCATCCCATTATATTTCACTCCTCTGCGATCCACTCCACTCAACTCCATTCCAGGCCACTTCACTCCTTTCAGTTCCTTGCCATTCCTTTCCATTCCATTCCACTTCACACCACTCCACTCAACTGCACTCCACTACACTCCATTTCGTTCCATTACACTGACCTCTGACCTAATTGAGTCAACTCCACTCCAGTCCTCTCCAATCCATTCCATTGCATTCCATTCCATTCCCTTCCTTTCCGTTCCATTCCTCTCCATTCCATTCCACTGCATTCCTTTACACTGCACTCCAATTCACTCCATTCAACTCCATTCCACTCCACTCCACTCAATTCCACTCCAATCCGTTCAATTAGACTCCATTCCATTCAACTCCTTTCCATTCCATTCTACTCCACTCCATTCCACTCCACTCCATTCCACTCCACTGAACTCCATTCTTCTCCATTCCATTCCACTCCACTCCATTCCATTCCACTCTATTCCATTCGTTTAAATTCCGTTATTTCTACTTGATACAACTGTGCTACACAGACTGGAGTGTGGTGGCACAATCTCAGCATAGATTTCATTACACCATTCCATTC
>NC_000024.10:10855135-10871218 GCF_000001405.40 Homo sapiens
AGGCAGGCCTCCTTGAGCTGTGGTGGGCTCCATCCAGTTCCAGCTTCCCTGCTGCTTTGTTTACCTAAGCAAGCCTGGACAATGGCGGGCGCCCCTCCCCCAGCCTCGTTGCCGCCTTGCAGTTTGATCTCAGACTGCTGTGCTAGCAATCAGCGAGATTCCGTGGGCGTAGGACCCTCTCAGCCAGGTGTGCGATATAGTCTCGTGGTGCGCCGTTTCTTAAGCCGGTCTGAAAAGCGCAATATTCGGGTGGGAGTGACCCGATTTTCCAGGTGCGTCCATCACCCCTTTCTTTGACTCGGAAAGGGAACTCCCTGACCCCTTGCACTTCCCAGGTGAGGCAATGCCTCGCCCTGCTTCGGCTCGCGCACGGTATGCACACACACTGGCCTGCGCCCACTGTCTGGCACTCCCTAGTGAGATGAACCCGGTACCACAGATGGAAATGCAGAAATCACCCGTCTTCTGCATTGCTCACGCTGGGAGCTGTAGACCGGAGCTGTTCCTATTCGGCCATCTTGGCTCCTCCTCCCATTCTTTCCATTCATTTCCATTCCACTCCATTAGATTCCATTTCATTTCACTCCTTTCCATTCCATTCCACTGAACTCCATTTCACTCCAATCCACTTCACTCCACTCCACTCTTTTCTGTTCCGTTCTGTTCCATTCTTTTCCTTTCCATTCCATTTCATTCCATTCCATTCTATTCCATTTCAGTCCACTCATTTCCATTCCATTCCACTCCATTCCAGTTCATTCGACTCCACTCCACTCCACACTGTTCCATTCTGTTCAGTTCCGTTCTGTTCCATTCCATTGTGTTCCACTCCATTCAAATCCACACCACTCCATTCCACTCCACTGGTTTCACTCAATACAACTCCACTCCACTCCATTCCATTCCTCTCCATTCCATTCCACTACACTCCATTCCATTCCATTCGATTCCACCCCATTCGTCTCTATTCCACTGCATTCCATTCCACACCACTCCATTCCACTCCACTCCACTCTATTCCACTCCATTTAATTCCATTCAACAGTACTTTATTCAATTTCATTTCACTCCATTCCATTCCATTCCACTCAACTTCATTCCTGTCCACTCCATTCCACTCCGCTACACTTCATTCCACTCCCTTCTATTCCACTGCACTCCATTCCATTCCATTCTACTTCATTCCTTTCTATTCCTTTATTTCTACTGGATCGCAGTCTGTCACCCAGATGGAGTGAAGTGGCACAGTATTAGCTCACATTTCATTTCACCATTCCATTCCATTCCATTCAATTCCATTACGCTCCACTCCACTCCATTCCGTACCATTCCTTTTATTTCCACTGCGTTCCGATCCACTCCACTCAACTCCACTCCACTCAGTTCCATTCCATTCCATTCCATTCCCTTCCTTTCCAATCCATTAGACTCAAGTCCATTCCACTCCATTCCATTAGACTCAACTTCATTCCATTCCACTCCATTCCACTCCACTCCACTCCTCATCCTTTTACTCCTCTCCATTCCATTCCATTCCATTCTTCCGCACTCTAATCCACTCCACTCAACTCCACTCCACTCCATCCCATTCCATTCCGTTCCCTTCCATTCCATTCCATTACACTCTATTCCATTACATTCACCTCCATTCCACTCCACTCCCATTCATTCCATTCCACTCAATTCCATGCCAATCCACTCTTTTCCACTCCATTCCATTCCTTTCCACTCCATTCCATACCAATCCATTCCATTCCACTCCATTGCACTCCATGCCACTCCAAAAAATTCCATTCCACTCTATTCGATTCCATTCCACTCCATTCGATTCTATTCCACTCCATTCTATTCCACTCTGCTCCATTCCATTCTATTTTTCTCCATTGCATTTCCTTCCTTTATTTCGACTGGTTCTGTCTCTGTCACCCAGATTGGAGTGCAGTGGCACAATCTTAACTCTCATTTCATTTCACAATTCCATTCCATTCCAATCCACTCTAATCCACTGCACTCCTGTACACTCCATTCATTACACTCCATTCATTACACTCCATTCAACTGCACTCAGATCCACTCCACTCCACTCATCTCCACTCCATTATATTCTGTACCATTCCCTTCCCTTCCGTTCCATTCCACTCCATTCCTTTCCACTCCACTCCATTCCACTCCACTCCTATTCACTCCTTTCCCATCCATTCAACTCCACTGCATTCCACTACATTCCAATCCATTCCATTCCACTCCAATACTGTCCATTCCACTCAAATCCGTTCCACTCCACTCCATTCCACTCCAATCCATTCTAGCCCACTCCACCCCATCCCACTCCATTGCATTCACCTCCACTTCATTCCATTCCATTCTACTATATTCCATTCCAATACATTCCGTTGTGTACACTGGATCTCACTCTTTCATCCAGACTGGAGTGCAGTGGAACAATCTTAGTTCACATTTCTTTTCACCATTCCATTCCATTCCATTCCATTACATTCCGTCCCACACCATTCCATTCAATTCCTTTCCCTCCATTCTCTTGCATTCCATTCCTCTCCATTCCACTATATTCCACTGCATTCCCTTCCACTCCACTCCATTCCACTCCTCTCCACTCCACTCCCTTCCAGTCCATTCCACTCCATTACACTACACTCCATTCCACTCTAATCCATTCCCCTTTATTCCCTTCTATTGCAATAAATTCCACTCCATTCAATTTCATTCCACTCCTTTCCAGTCCACTCAACTCCACTTCATTCCACTCCACTCCATTCCACTCCATTCCTTTCCATTCCGTTCCATTCCACTCCACTGCATTACACTCAACTCCTTTCCACAATGCTGCATTTTACGCCATTATACTCCATTCCACTCTGTTCCACTGCACTCCACTCCACTACACTATACTCTACTGCATTCCACTCCACTCCATTACCCTCCGCTAAACTCCATTCCACACCATTCCATTCCATTCCACTCCATTTCATTACTTTCCTTTCCTCTCCATTCCACTCCATTAAACTCCACTCCATTACAGTCCACTCCACTCCATTCCACTGCATTCCATGCCTTTCCATTACATTACATTCCAATCCATTCCAATCCACACAATTCCATTCCACTCCTTTCGACTCCACTCCAATCCCGTCCACTCAACTCCACCCTACCACACTCCACTCCATTCCATTCTGTACCATTCCCTTCCATTCCATTCCATTCCACTCACTTCCTTTTCAATCCACTCAATTCCTCTCCACTCCAATTCACTGCATTACCCTCTTTTCCACTCCATTCCACTCCATTCCATTCCATTCCACTCCATTTCATTCCATTCCTTTCCACTCCATTCCACTCCACTCCATTCCATTCCAATTCATTCTACTACACTCCACCCCATTCCACTCCATTCCATTACTCTCCACTGCATTCCATTTGATTCTTCTAAATTCCTTTAAATTCCATTCCTTTATTTTGACTGTGTCTCACTCTTTCACCCAGACTGTAGTGAAGTGGCACAATACTAGTTAATATTTCATTTCACCATTCCTTTCCATTCCATTCCATTCCACTCCAATCGATTCCACACCACTCCACTCCACTCCTTTCCATTCCATTACACTGCATTCTGATACACTCCACTCAACTCCACTCCGCTCCATTCCGATCCACTCTTTTCCATTCATTTCCATTCCATTCCATTCTGCTACACTCCATTCCATTCCACTCCATTCCAATCCATTCCACTACACTGCACTTCACTCCACTCCACTCCCCTCCACTCCACTCAACTACAATACACTAAACTCCACTCCATTCCATTCAGTTCCATTCCATTTCATTGCATTCCACTGCACTCCGATCCACTCCACTCAACTCCTCTACACTAATCTCCACCCCGTTTTGTTCCATTACTTTACATTCCTTTCCATTCCATTCCATTCCATTCCACTCCACACCACTTCTTTCCATTCCACTCCATTTCATTCCACTCCACTCCACTCCAATCCACTTCACTCGTCTCGAATCCATTCCATTCCACTGCACTCCGATCCACTCCACAAAACTCTAATCCACCCCACTCCATTACACTCCGTTCCATTCCGTTCCTTTCCATTCTGTTGCATTCCATTCCACAACATACCATTCCAGTCCAATCCATTCCACTCCACTCCACTCCACTTCACTCCACTCCATTTCACTCCATTCCACCCCTCCCCACTGCACTCTGTGCCTTTCCTTTCCATTCTGTTCCCGTCCGTTCCATTCAATTTCATTCAATTCCATTCCATTCCACTCCACTTCATTCCATTCCTGTCCATTTCACTCCATTCCACTGCGTTCGACTCTGATCCTCTGCAATACACTCCACTCCTCTCCAATCCATTCCAATCCATTTCATTCCATTCCACTCCACTCCATTCCTTTCCATTACAGGCCATAGCACTGCATTCCACTACATTCCATTCCATTCCACTACATTCCGCTCCACTCCATTCCACTCCACTCCACTCCATTCCACTCTATTCCATTCCATTACATTCCACTCCACTCCATTCACCTCCACTCGATTCCAATCCACTCCACTCCATTATACTCCATTCTACTCCATTCCATTCCTTTATTTGATTGGATTGCTTCTCATTCTGTCACCCAGACTGGAGTTCAGTGGCACAATATTAGCTTACTTATCATTTCAACTTTCCATTCCATGCCATTCAATTACATTCCAATGCATTCCATTCCATTACACTCCACTCCATTCCATGCCATTCCACTCCATTCAATGCCATTGCATTCCATTCAATGACATTCCATTCCATTCCACTCCATTCCATTCCGTTCCACTCCACTCCACTCCATTCCATTCCACTCAAATCCACTCCACTCCACTCAAATCCACTTCACTCCACTTCACTCCATTCCATTCTGCTCCATTCCATTCCGCTCCTTTCTATTCCATTGCACTCCATTCCATTTCTTTAAATGCCATTGCACGCCTCTCCATTTCACTCGATTCTACTCCACTCCTCTCCAGTCTACTCCACTCCACTTCACTCTATTCCATTCCTCCCCGTTTCTTTCCATTCCACTCCACTCCATTACACTCAAATCCAGTCCTTTCCACTCCATTCCGTTCCATTCCACTCCATTCCATTCCATTCCTCTATATTCCATTCCATTCCATTACACTACATTCCACTCCACTCCATTCCTCTCCACTCCATTCCAATCCACTCCACGCCATTGCACTCAAATACATTCTACTCCAGTCCATTGCACTCCATTACATTCAACTCCACTCCATTCAATTCCACACTTCTCCATTCCATTTCTTTTCTTTATTTCAGCTGGAACTCACTGTGTCACCCAGACTGGATTGCAGTGGAACAATGTTAACTCACATTTCATTTCAACATTACATTCCATTCCTTTCCATCACTTCACTCCACTCCATTCCAATCAATTCCACTCCACTCCATTCCAATAAAATCCACTAGTCTCAAATACACTCCATTCCATTCCACTCCACTCCACTCCATTCCATTCCATTACATTCCATATCACTTCTCTCCTATCAACTACCGTCAACGCCACTCTACACCTCTCCACTCCACTTCTTTTCATTCCGTTCCATACCATTCCATACCATTCCATTCCATTCTGTTCCATTCCCTTCCACTCCATTCCACTCCATTGCATTCCGTTTCCCTCCATTCCACTCCACTCCACTCCAGTCCACTCCACTCTACGCCAATACATTCCTTTCCATTCCATTCCATTGCATGCCATTCCATTCCATTCCACTGCACTCCTATCAACTCCTCTCAACTTCACTACTGTCCACTCCTTTCCATTCCATTCTGTTCTGCTCTGTTCCATTCCATTCCGTTCATTTCCACTCCACTCCACTCCTCTACATTCCATTACATGTAATTCCATTTCACTGCATTACACTACCCTCCACACCACTGCACTCAACTCCAATCCATTCCAATTCATTCCATTCCATTCTGCTCCTTTCCACTGAACTGCACTCCACCACACTCCACTCCACTTCGTTCCATTCCATTCCATCCCATTCCATTCCACTCCATTCCACTCCACCCCACCTCACTCCACTGCACTCCACTCCAGTCCACTCCATTGCATACCATTCCATTCCATTCCACTGCATTCCATTCCATTTCTTTCTTTTCAGAATATCTCCCTCTGTCACCCAACCTGGAGTGCAGTGGCACAATCTCTGCTCACATTTTATTTCACAATTCCATTCCATTCCATTCCATTCCGCTCCATTCCACTCCACTCCAATCATTTCCACTCCATTGCATTCCAGTCCACTCCATTCCGTTCGGTTACATGCCATTCCATTCCATTCCTTTCAACTCCTTTCCACTCTGCTCCACTCCATTCCATTCCAATCTACTCCACTCTCCTCTTTTCCATTTCCTTCCATCCCATTCCATTCTACTCCTTTCCACTCCATTCCATTCGGTTCCATTCCATTCCATTTCATTCCTTTTCAATATTTTCTTTCGACAGGATCTCACTCTGTACCACAGGCTGGAGTGCAGTTGCAAAATCACAGCTCACATTTCATTTCAGCATTCCATTCCATTCCATTGCATTCCATTCTATTCCATTCCATTACACTCCGTTTCATTCCAATCCATTCCATCCCTTTCCATTCCATTGCATTCCATTCCATTCCACTGCACTGTGATCCACTCCACTCAACTCCGCTCCACTCCAGTCAATTCCATTCCATTCCACTCCATTTCAATCCATTCCACTCCATTACATTTCATTCCACTGTACTAAATTCCATTCCATTCCACTGTACTCCAGTGCACTCCACTCCACTACTTTCCACTCCACTCCACTCTGTTACACACCTCTCCATTCCATTCAATTCCATTTTCTTCCATTCCATTCCATTCCACTGCACTCCTTTCTATTCCACTCAACTCCATTCCACTCCACTGCATTCAGTTCCCTTCCTTTCCATTCAATTCCCTTCCATTCCTTTCCCTTCAGTTCCATTCCTTTCCATTCTACTCCACTGCCTTCCATTCCACTCCATTTCACCCCATTCGACTCCATTCTACTCTACTCCATACCACTTCACTCCACTCCACTCCACTGTACTCCACTCCAGTCCATTCCATTCCCTTGCGTTCCATTCAGTTCCAATCCATTTCCCTCCCTTCTATTCCACTCCACTCCACTCCACTCCATTTCTCTCCATTCCACTACATTCCTCTCCACTCCATTCCACTCCACTCCACTCCCTTCCATTACACTTCAATCCATTCTATTCCACTCCATTCCCTTCTATTCCATTACACTCCATTCCTCTCCATTCCACTCCACTCCATTCTTCTCCAATCCATTATACTCCACTCCACTCCATTCGACTCCATTCCGTTAACCTCCACCTCATTCCTTTCCATTCTACTCCATTCCATTCCATTCTTTTATTTCGTCTAAATCTCACTCTGTCACCAAGACTGGAATGGAGTAGAACAATCTTAGCTCACATTTCTTTTCACAATACCATTCCATTCCATTCCATCCCATTCCATTACACTCCACTCCATTCCTTTCCAGTCCACTCCAATCCACTCCACTCAACTCCACTCCATTCTATTCCACTCCATTTCAATCCACTCCACAACTTGCATTTCCATTTCATTCCATTCCTTTTCATTCTATCCTAATGCACTCCCATCCACTCCACGCAACTCCACTGCACTCCAGGCCACAACACGCCATTCTGATCCTTTCCATTTCGTGCTCTTCCATTCCACTCCTTTCCATTCCACTCCTCTGATTTCCATTCCACCCCACTCCACTCCACTCCACTCCATTCCATTCCTTTCCATTCCAGTCAAATCCCTTCACTCCATTCCATTCAATTCCATTCCCTTCCATTCCATTTCATTCCATTCCATTCCATTCTACTGCACTCCAATCCACCCGTCTCATCTCCACTCCACTCCATTCCGTTCCTTTCCGTTCCATACCATTCCATCGCATTCCAATCCATTACTGACCATTCCATTCCTTTCCATTCCATTCCATTCCACAACACTCTATTCCGTTCCACTCCGTTCAACTCCATTCCACTCCAATCCACTCCACGGCACTCCACTCCACTGCACTCCAATATACTTCATTCCATTCCATTAAATTCCACTGCACAAATAGCTAATCCACTCACCTCCACTCCATTCCCATCCACTCCACTCCATTCCATTCTGTTCCATTCCATTCCATTCGGTTGCTTTCCATTCCACTCAATACCACTCCACTCCATTCCACTCCATAATATTGCACTCCACTCCACTCAATTCCACTCCATTCCACTCCATTCCATTAAATTCCATTTCACTCCATTCCACTCGACCCACGTCCACTGCTTTCCACTCCACTCCATTCCAAACCACTACATTCCACTCCACTCCATTCCATTCCCCTCTGTTCCATTCCACCTCACACCATTCTGCTCCATTATATTCCATTCCATTCCATTCTTTATTTCGACCGGGTCTCACTCTGTCACCCAGACTGGAGTACAGTGGCACAATAATAGCTCACATTACAGTTCAACATTCCATTGCATTCCATTCCATTCCACTCCATTCCATTCCATGCCATTCCATTCCATTCCTTTCCATTCCATTGCATTCTATTCCAGACCCCTCCACTCCACTGCACTCCATTCCATTTCATTCATTTCCACTCCATTCCATTCCACTCCACTCCATTCCATTACATTCCATTCCAATCCTCTCCACTCTACTGCACTTCTCCCCACTCCACTGCACTCCGTTCCATTCCATTGCATTTAACTCCACTTCATTGCTTTCCATTCCACTCCATTTGAATCCATGCCATTCCATTCCATTCCGTTCCATTCTTTTGCATTCCTTCATTCCATTCCACTGCACTCCTATAGACTACACTCAATTCCAAACAAATCCACTCCATTAGGTTCTGTTTCATTCCATTTCTTTCCTTTCAATTCCACTAAATTCCAATCCATTCCATTTAACTGCAGTCTGATCCACTCCACTCAACTTCACTCCACTCCACTCCATTCAGTGCACACCTTTTCACTCCATTCCACTCCATTCCACTTCATTCCATTTTATTCCACTGCACTGCAATAAAAAATACTCAACTCCACTCCACTCCACTCCATTCCATTCTGTACTTTTCCGTTCCTTTCTTTTCCATTCTTTTGCACTCCACTCCATTCCACTCCACTCAATTCCATCCTATTTCATTTTACTCCTTTCCTCTCCATTCCACTCCACTCCATTTTACTCCACTCCACTCAACTCCATTCCATTCCACTCCATTACTTTCCATTACACTACATTCGAATCCAAATCATCCCACTCCATTCTACTCCATTCCTCTCCACTCCATTCCACTCCACTCCATTTCAATCAACTCCACTCAGTTCCACTGAATTCCATTCCATTAAACTCCATTCCATTCCATTGCATTCCATTCCATTCCATTCCATTCCATTCCATTCCTTTCCATTCATTCCATTCCATTCCACACCATTCCTTTCCAGTCCACTTGATTCCATTCCAATCCAATCCACTCCACTCCAATCTGTTCCATTCCATTCCATTCTGCTACACTACATTCCCCCCTATTCCATTCCACCCCACACCATTCTGCTCCATTCTGTTCCATTCCATTCCATTTCTTTCCATTCCTTTCATTCCTTTTCATTCCGCTGCACTCCAATCCACTCCAGTCTATTCCAAACCAATCCACTCCGTTTAGTTCCGTTCCTTTCCATTTCTATCCATTCCATTCCATTACATTCCAATTCATTCCATTTCACTGCACTCCGATCCACTCCACTCAACTTTACTCTACTCCACTCCACTCCATTCCGTTTCACACCATTCCACTCCATTCTACCCCACACCAGTTCATTCCTTTCCATTCCATTTTATTCCACTGCATTCTGATAAATAACACTCAACTCCACTCCACTCGACTCTATTTCATTCCATACTCTTCCGTTCCGTTCTTTTGCACTCCACTCCGTTCCACTCCACTCAATTCCAACCCATTCCTTTTTACTCCTTTTCACTCCATTTCACTCCACTCCATTTTACTCCACTCCACTCAACTCCATTCCATTCCACTCTATTCCATTCCATTACACAACAATCGATTCCATTTCATTCCACTCCATTCTACTCCATTCTTCTCCACTTCATTCCACTCCACTCCGTTACACTCAACTCTGTTCTATTCCATTCCATTCCATTCCATTAAACTCCATTTCATTCCATTCCATTCCATTCCATTCTATTCCATTCTATTCCACACCATTCCTTTCCACTCCACTCGATTCCATTCCAATCCACTCCACTCGATTCCATTCCAATCCACTCCACTCCAATCCACTCCATTCCATTCGATTCTGCTCCACTGCATTCCCCTCTATTTCTTTCCACCTCACACCATTCCGCTCCATTCTCTTCCATTCCATTCCATTCTTTATTTCGACTTGATCTCACACTGTCTTCCAGAATGGAGTGCAGTGGCACAATATTAGCTCACATTACATTTCACCATTCCGTTGCACTCCATTGCTTTCCATTGTATTCCATTCCATTCCATCGCATTCCATTCCAGACCACTCCACTCCACTCCACTCCACTCCACTCCATTCCATTCCATTCCTTTAAAATCCATTCCAGTGAAGTCCGATCCAAAAATTCAACTCCACTCCACTGCATTTCACTCTTCTCCTTTGCATTCTGCTCCTTTCCATTCGGATCCATTCCATTCCTTTCTCTTCCATTCCATTCCATTCCTTTCCATTCCATTTCATTCCTTTCCATTCCATTCCACTCCACTCCATTCCCTTCCATTCCACTCCATTCCATTCCATTCCATTCCACCCAATTCCATTCCTCTCCATTCCACTCCACTCCACTCCAATCCACTCCAATCCACTCCACTACACTCCAAACCATTCCAGTCTACTCCACTCTACTCCTCTCCATTTCTTTCCATTTTATTCAATTCCATTTTCTTCCATTCCACACCACTCCCTTCCATTCCATTCCATTCCATTCCATTCCACTCCATTCCATTCCATTCCATTCCATTCCACTGAATTCCCATCCACTCCAGTCAACTCCACACCACTCCAATCCACTCCACTATGTTCCGTTCCATTCCATTCCATTCAATTCCATTGAATTCCTTTCCATTCCATGCCATTCCAAACCACTTCATTCCATTCCAATCCATTCCCGTTCATTTCATTCCACTCCACTCCACTCCATTCAATTCCATTCCTTTCCACTGCACTCCAATCCACTCCACTCAACTACATTCCACTCCACTCCACTCTGTTCTATTGCATTCCCTTGCATTCAATTCCATTATGTTCCATTCGATCCCACTCCATTCCCACCCTCTCCACTCTATTCCACTCTGTTCCATTACACTTCATTCCACCTCATTTCTCTCCATTCTACACCATTCCTCTCCATTCCATTCCACTCCATTCCACTCCAGTCAATTCCACTCCATTCCATTCGACACCACTCTAATCCATTCCATTCCACTCAATTCCACTACACTCGACTCCACTCCACTCCGTTCCATTCCACTCCTCTAAACTCCCTTCCATTTCAATCCATTAATTTCCATTTCATGACATTCCATTCCACTGCATGTTGATACACTCCACTCAACTCCACTCCACTCCACTCCGTTCCATTCCATTTCGTTCTATTCCATTCCATTCCACCCTACTTCATTTCATCCCACTGCATTCCACCACACTCCACTCCACTCCACTCCTGTCCTTTCCATTTCATTCCATTCCGTTCCACTGCACTCAAATCCACTTCACTCAATACCACACCACTTCACTCCATTCCATTCCGTTCCATTTCGTTCTATTTCATTTCGTTTAACTCCATTCCTTTTGATTCCACTCCACTCCAATCCACTCCATTCCACTCTATTCCACTTCACTGCAATACAATGCACTCTACTCCACTCCATTTCATTCCTCTCCATTCCTTTCCATTCTACTCCATTCCATTACATTGCATTTCACTCCATGCTACTCTATTCCACTCCACTCCATTGCACTCCACTCCATTCCACTCTACTCTACTCCATTCCATTCAATTCCACTCCGTTCCATTTTATTCCACTTCTTGTCACTCCATTCCACTCCACTATACTCCATTTCACTGCACTCCATTCCATTGCATTCTACTCCTTTCCATTCCATTCCATTCCATTATTTCGACTAGATCTAACTCTGTCACCCAGAGTGGAGTGCAGTTTCACAATCTTAGCTCACATTACCTTTCATCATTCTGGTACTTCCATTTCATTAGATTCCACTCCATTCCAATCAACTCCACTCCACTCCACTCCATTCCATTCAATTCCACTCAATTCCATTTAATTTCACTCCTTGTCACTCCATTCCATTCCACTACACTCCATTCCACTCCCCTCCATTCCGTTGCATTCTACTCCTTTTCATTCCATTCCTTTCCATTATTTCGACTTGAACTCACTCCATCACCCAGAGTGGAATGCAGTGGCACAATCTTATCTCACAGTACATTTCGTCATTCCATTACATTCCATTTCTTTAGATTCCACGACATTCCAATCAACTTCACTCCACTCCACACAATGTGACAACACTCCATTCCATTCCATTTTCTTCCATTTCATTCCACTGCACTCCAATCCACTCCCTTCGTCTCCACTCCACTCCAATCCAATCCATTCTGTTCCATTCCATTTAATTCCGTTTCATTCCATTCCATTCCATTCCATTCCATTCCATTCCATTCCAATCCACTCCATCCATTCCACTCCATTCCCGTCCATTCCCCTCCACTCCACTCCATTCCCGTCCATTCCCCTCCACTCCACTCCATTCCATTCCATTCCATTCCACTCCATTCCATTCTATTCCATTCCATTCCACTGCACTGCCATCGACTCCAGTCAACTCCACACCACTCCTATGCACTCCACTATGTTCCTTTCCATTCCATTCCATTCCATTCCATTGAATTCCGCTCCATTCCATGCAATTCCAAACCACAACATTCCATTCCACTGCATTCCACTCCATTCCTTTCCACTCCACTCCACTGCATTCAATTCCATTCCATTCCACTGCACTCCAGTCAACTCCACTCAAATGCATTCCACTCCACTCCACTCCACTCCACTCCACTCCACTCCACTCCACTCCACAGTTCCAATGTGTTCCCTTGCATTTCATTCGGTTCTGTTCCGTTTAATTCCACTCCATTCCCTTCCTCTCCACTCCATTCCACTCCACTCCTTTTCACTCCATTCCATTCCATTCCACTCCTCTCCACTCCACTGCACTCCATTCGATTTGACTCCCTTTCATTCCACTACCCTCCATTCCGTTTCATTCCATTCCTCTCCATTCCTTTCTTTTCTACTCCACTCCATTTCACTGCTTAATTTCTACTCACTCTTTCACACAGACTGGAGTGTAGTGGCACACTCTTAGGTTGCATTTCATTTCAAAATTCCATTCCATTCCACTCCATTCCATTCCATTCCACTTCACTCCATTCCATTCCATTCAATTCCTTTTCATTCCACTGAACTCCAATCCACTTCACTCAACTCCACTCCACTCTATTCCTCTCCATTCCATTCCATTCTATTCCATTCCATTCCATTCCATTCCATTCCATTCCATTCCGATTCATTCCATTTCATCCCATTCCTTTCCTTTCCATTACCTTACATTCCACTCCATTCCATTCCATTCCACTCCAGTCCACTCTAATCCATTCCATTCCATTCCACTCCACTCCATTCCATTCCATCCCACTCTATTTCACTCCATTCCACTACAATCCATTCCACTCCACTCCATTCCATTCCCTTACACTCCACTCCATTCCCTTACACTCCACTCCATTCCAGTGTGTTCTACCCCATTCCATTCCTTTCCTTTCATTTATTTTGGCTTGACCTCACTCCATCACCTAGACTGGAGTACAGTGTCACAATCGTAGCTCACATTTAATTTCACCAATGCATTCCATTCCATTACATTCCAAAATATTCCATTCCTCTCCACTCCACTCCCCTCGATTCCATTCCGCTCAACTCCACTCCACTCCATTCCATTCCATTCCATTCCACTCTATTCCTCTGCACTCTGATCCACACCACTCAACTCCAATCCCCTCCACTCTACTCCAACACGTTCCATTCTTTTACATTCCACTCTGTTCCATTCCATTCCATTTGGTTTCACTCCATTACATTCCACTCCATTCCATTCCTTTGCACTCCATTCCATTCTACTCCAGTCCACACTATTCCACTCCACTCCACACTATTCCACTCCACGCCATTGCTGTCCACTGCTTTCCACTCCACTCCATTCAAATCCATTCCACACCACTCCACTCCATTCTATTCTAGTCCATTTCACTCCATTCCACTGCACTCCATTGACCTCCACACCATTCCACTCCACTTCACTCCATTCTACTCCATTCCATTCCACTCCAATCCATTTAATTCCATTCTACTTCATTCCATTGTATTACTTTATTTTGATTGGATCTTTTTCTGTCACCTAGACTGGAGTGCAGTGGCACGATATTAGCTCACATTTCATTTCACCATTCCATTCCATTCCATTACACTCCACTCTACTACACTGCACTCCACTGCATTGTATACCTTTTCATTCCTTTTCTTTCCATTCCATTCCATTCCATTCCATTCCATCCCATTCCATTCCATTCCATTCCATTCCATTCCATTCCATTGCACTCCATTCCATTCCACTGCCCTCTGATCCACCCCACTCAACTCCACTCCATGCCATTCTGTTCTGTTCTGGTCTATTCCATTCCCTTCTATTCCCTTCCATTCTGTTCCATTCCTTTCCATTTCAAGCCATTCCATTCCATTCCACTGCATTCGTCTCCTTTCCACTACACTTCGCTCCACTCAATTCTATGCCATTGCATTCCACTACATTCTGATCCACTCCAATCAACAACACTCCGCTTCTCTCCACTCCACTCCATTTCATTCCATTCTGCTCCATTCCATTCCATTTCATTCCACTCCATTCCATACCATGCCAGTCTACTCCACTCCATTCCATTGCACTTCATTCCACCTCATTCCTGTCCATTCTACAAAATTCCACTCCATTCAATTCCACTCCATTCCATTCCACTCCATTCCACTCCACTCCATTCCACTCCATTCCATTTGACCCAGCTCCAGTCCATTCCATTCCACTCCATTCCACTACACTCGACTCCACTCCATTCCATTCCACTCCTCTAAACTCTGTTCCATTCTAATCCATTAATTTTCATTTAATTACGTTCCATTCCACTGCACTTTGATTCACTCCACTCAACTCCACTCCACTCCATTCCATTCCATTCCTTTCTATTCCATTCCTTTCCATTCCATTTCATTCCATTCTTTTCCATTCCGTTTAACCCGACTCCATTTCATTCCACTTCATTCCACGACACTCCACTCCAGTCCACTCCACTCCTCTCCTTTCCGTTCCATTCCATTCCACTACACTCGAATCCACTTCATTCAACATCACTGCACTCCACTCCATTCCATTCCATTCCATTCCATTCTGTTCCATTTCATTTCATTCAACTCCATTCCTTTTGATTCCACACCACTCCACTCCACTCCATTTCACTCAAGTCCAATCCATTCCACTTCTCTACAATGTAATGCACTCCACTCCACTACATTCCATTCCACTCCATTCCATTCCATTCCATTCTTCTCCATTCAATTTCTTTGCATTGTACTCCATTCCATTCCATTCCATTTCACTCCATGCTACTCCATTCCACTCCACTCCTTTGCACTCCACTCCATTACACTCCACTGCACTCCATTCCACTCCATTCCATTCAATTCCACTCCATTCCATTTTTTTCCACTTCTTGTCACTCCATTCCACTGCACTACACTCCATTCCACTCCACTTCA
>NC_000024.10:10871897-10890419 GCF_000001405.40 Homo sapiens
AATTCCACTCCATTCCATTTTTTTTCCACTTCTTGTCACTCCATTCCACTGCACTACACTCCATTCCACTCCACTTCATTCCATTGCATTCTACTTCTTTCCATTCCATTCCATTCGAATATTTCAACTAGATCTCACTTCGTCACCCAGAGAAGAGTGCAGTGGCACAATCTTAGGTCACATTACATTTCATCATTCCATTACATTCCGTTTCATTAGATTCCACTCCATTCCAATCAACTCCACTCCACTCCATTCCACTCCATTCCTTTCAATTCCACTCCATTCCATTTTATTCCACTGCTTGTCACTCCATTCCACTGCACTACACTCCATTCCACTCCATTCCAATCCACTCCTTTCTACTCCATTCCATTCCATTCCATTCCATTCCATTCCTCTGCACTCAGATCCACTCCACTCAGCTCCACTCCACACCACTCCATGCCGTTCCATTCGGTTCCATGCCGTTCTGTTCCATTCCGTTCCATTTCTTTCCACTCCAGTCCACTACATTCCCTTATATTCGATTCCATTGAACTCCATTCCACTCCTCTCCACTCCACTGCACTCCACTCCACTTCATTCAAATCCATCCCATTCCATTCCCTTCCTTATCACTGCAATGCACTCCACACCACTCCACTCCACTTCATTCCATTCTATTCCAATCCACTCTGTTCCTTTTCATTCCACTCCATACCATGCCATTCCACCCGATTCCATTCCATTACTTTCATTTCAATCCACTGGACTCCACTCCACCACTATCCACGACATTCCAGTCCACCCCATTCCACTCCAGTACACTCCATTCCACTCCAATCCACTCCTGTCCATTCCATTCCATTCCATTTTATTACATTCCATTAACTTCCTTTCCACTCCACTCCAATCCATTCCATTCTTCTGCACTCAGATACATTCCAGTCAACAGCACACAACTCTACTCAACTCCACTCTGTTCCGTTCAGTTCCTTTCTTTTACTTTAAATTCCATTCCCTTCTGTTCCACTGCATTCCACTCCACTACATTCCATTACATCCGATTACGTTCCTCTCCATTCCACTGCACTCCATTTCACTTCATTCCAGTCACCTTCACTCCGTTCCACTCCACTCCATTAGTTTACACTCCACTCCAAACAATCACTCCACCCCATTCCATTCCATTCCATTGCATTCCATTCCATTCCATTCCATTCCATTCCATTCCATTGCATTCCATTCCATTCCATTCCATTGCATTCCATTCCATTCCATTCCATTCCATTGCATTTCCTTCCATTGCATTCCATTCCATTCCACTCCATTCCATTCCATTCCTATCCTTTCCATTACCATCGTTTCCACTTCATTTTATTCAATTCCACTCCCTTCCATTTCATTCCGCTACATTCCACTCCATTCCACTCCAATCCACTCCATTCCACTCCACTACAGTCCACTTCACTCCACTCCTCTCCATTCCATTCCATTTTATTCCATTCCATACAATTCCATTCTAATCCACTCCATTCCATTCCAATCCACTGCACTCCGATCTACTCTATTAAACTCCCCTCCACTCAACTCCACATTGCTCTGTTCTATTCGATTCGATTCCATTCCACTCCACACTATTCCATTCCACTGATTTCCACTCCATTCAACTCCATTCCTCTTCACTCCACTGCACTCCACTCTACTCCACTCCTTTCCATTCCTTTTAATTCCACTGCACTCTGATCCACTCAACTCAAATCCACTGCACTCAACTCCACTCCATTCCAATCCATTGCACTCATTCCCTTTCTTTCCATTCCATTCCATTCCATTCCGTTCCACTAATTTCCATTCTATTCCTATCCATTCAACTCCACTGCATTCCATTCCTGTACTTTACACTCCACTCCACTCTATTCCACTGATTTCCACTCCACTCTACTCCGCTCAATTCCTTTCCATTCCATTCCATTTCACTGCATTCCAATCCACTCCACTCGTCTCCACTCCACTCCTCTCCACTCCTCTCTGTACCATTCCATTACTTTCCGTTCTGTTCTGTTCCTTTCCACTCCATTCCATTCCACTGCAGTCCATTTCACTCCATTCCAATCCAGTCCTCTACACTCCATGCCACTCCACTCCTTTCCATTCCATTCCATTTCCATCCATTCCATTCCAATCCCCTCCATTTCATTCCATTACGTTCATTTCCATTCCATTCCACTGCACTCCAGGCACTCCACTCAACTCCACTCCACTACATTCTGCTAGGTTCCGTTTTCTTCCATTGCCTTTTGATCCATTCCATTTCATTCCTTTCCATTCTATTCCTTTCGATTTCACTCCATTCCATTCCACTCCATTCCAATGCATTCCATTCCACTCCACTCCACTCTCTTCCTTTGCATTCTATTCCAATCCACTGCAATCTGATCCACTCCACTCAACTTTGCTCCACTCCACTCCCGTCCTTTGCAGTCTGTTCCATTCCATTTCATTCCATTCCATTCCTATCCACTACTCTCCATTCCATTCCACTTCATTCCCCTCCATTCCGTTACACTCCACTTCATTACATTCCACTCTATTCATTACCATTCCTCTCTACTCCATTCCAGTTCACTCCATTCCATTCCACTCGACTCCATTCATTCCATTCCACTCCATTCCATTCCATTCTACCCCATTCCATCCCATTAGTCTCCATTCCACTCCACTCCACTACACTATAACCCAGTCCACTCCACTGCACTCAATTCCATTCCACTCCTCTCCATTACATTCGATTCCATTTTATTCCATTGCATTGCATTCCATTCCCTTCCATCCAATTTAACTGCATTCTGTTCCAATCCACTCAAATTCGCTCCACTCCAGTCCACTCTATTCTGTTCCATTCCATTCCATTTTCTTCCGTTCTATTCAATTCCATTCCATTTCATTCCATTCCATGCCACTCCATTCCATTCCATTCCCCTCTATTGCCCTGCATTCCTATTAAATCCACTCCACTCCATTCGACTCCAATCCACTCAAATCCAGTCCACTCCACTGCATTCTATTCCATTCCAATGGACTCCAGTCGACTCCATTCATATCCACTCCACTCCACTCTACTCAGTTCCATTCCGTTAAGTTCTGTTCCATTCTGTTTCATTCCGTTCCTTTCCAGTCCAATCCCTTCCACTCCCCTCCATTCCACTCCACTCCATTGCACTGCATTCCACTCCACTCAAATCCTCTCCACTCCAGTCCATTCCATTTCACTCCATTCCATTCCATTACTCTCCTTGTCACTCCAATCCACTCCACTCCATTGAACTCCACATCATTCCACTCCCCTCCACTCCATTCCACTCAATTCGTTTCCACTCCACTCCACTCCTTTCCCTTCTACTCCTTTCCAATCCATTTCTTTATTTCTACTTGACCTCATTCTGTCTTCCAGACTGGAGTGCAGTGTCACAATCCTGGCTAAAATTTCATTTCACAATTCGATTCCATTCCATTCCATTTCTTTCCACTCTACTCCATTCCACTCCACTAAACTCCACTCCACTCCTCTCCCCCCACACCACTCAATTCCATTTCACTGAACTCCATTCCATTCCATCCCATTGAATTCCATTATATTACATTCCGTACCATTCCATTCCATACCATTCCATTAAATTCCACTCCTCTCCATTCCATTCCCCTCCATTCCAATGGAATCTCACTCTGTCATGCAGATTCGATTGCAGTTGCAAAATCTTCACTCACATTTCATTTCACTATTACATTCCATTCCATTCCGTTTCCACTGCATTCTGATATACTCCACTCAACTCCTCTCAACTCCACTCCACTCCACTCCACTCCGTTTCGTTCCATTCCATTCCATTCCATTCCATTCCATTCCATTCCATTCCATTCCATTCCATTTCATCGCATGCCCTTCCTTTCCGGTCCATTCCATTCAATTCCACACCACTCCTTTCAATTCCACTCCATTCCACTCCATTCCTCTCCTCTACACTACAATCCACTTAACTCCACTCCATTCCACTCCACTCCTCACCAATCCACTCCCCTCCACTCCACTCCATTGAATTGCATTTCATTCCACTTCACTCTGATCCACTCCTCTCAACTCCACTCCACTCCACTTCATTCCATTCCGTTAGGTTCCATTCTGGTCCATTCGACTCCACTCCAGTCAATTCCTCTCCACTCCATACCACTCCACTCCAATCCACACTACTTTACTCCACTCCATTCCACTCCACTCCATTCCATGCCACTCCACTCCATTCTGCTCCATTCCTTTCACTTTTATTACATTCAATTCCACTGCAGTGTGATATCCTGCACTCAATTCCACTGTACACCACTTCACTGTGTTCCGATCCTTTCCCTTGTGTTCAGTTCTGTCCCATTCCATTCCACACCGTTCCATTCTCTTACACTCCAGTCCATTCCAGTCCGCTCCACTCTGTTCCGTTTTCTTCCATTCCATTCCATTCCATTCCATTCCATTCCATATTTTTCCATACCATTCCATTCCACTTAACCCCATTCCATCCCAACCCATTCCCCTCTCTTCCACTCCACTCCACTCCTTTCCATATCATTCCATTGCAGGACACTCTGATCCACTATACTGAACTCCACCCCACTCCACTCCACTACATTCCATTCCATACCTTTCCATTCCATTCCTTTCCATTCCATTCCACTCAAATCCATTCCACTCCAATTCATTCCACTACACTCCTTTCCACTCCACTCCTTTTCACTCCATTCTACTCCATCGCACTCCACTCCAATCCACTCCATTTCATTCCATTCCATTCCATTCCACTCCACTCCATTCCAATCCATTCTACTCCATTCCATTACATTGCTTTAATTTGACTAGATCTCATTCAGTCACCCAGATTGGAGTGCAGTGGAAAAATATCAGCTCACATTTCTTTTGACCAGTCCATTCCATTCCATTCCATTCCATTCCATTCCATTCCATTCCATTCCATTCTTTTACATTCTTCTCTATTCCAATGCACTCCGAACCACTCCACTCAACTCTACTCCAATCCCGTGCACTGCACTCTCTTGTATTCCTTTCTACTGTGTTCCATTCCATTCCATTGCATACTATACCATTCGATTCCACTCCACTCCAATCCATTCCACTCAATTCCACTCCACTCCACCCCACTGCCCTCCACTCCATTCCATTCCATTCCGCACCACTCCTTTCCACTCCACTCCATTTCATCCAATTCTACTCAATTCCACTCCACTAATATCCACTCCAATGCATTCCACTAAACTCCATGCCCTTCCACTCCATTCCACTCCATTCCTCTCCATTGTATTGCATTCCATTCCATTCCATTGCACTCCATTCCTCTCCATTATATTGCATTCCATTCCATTTCATTGCACTCCATTCCATTCCATTCCATTGCACTCCATTCCATTCCATTCCACTTCATTGCATTCTACTCCACTCCACTCCATTTCATTCCATTCCATTCCACTCCAGTCTCTTCCAATCCACTCCTGTGCATTCCATTAAATTCCATTGCATTCCACTGCACTGTAATCCACTCCAATCAATTCCACTCCACTCCAATCCAATCCGTTCGATTCCATTCGGTTCCCTTCCATTCCATTTCCCTCCATACGATTACACTCCACTCCGTTCTGCTCCACGCCATTTCTCTCCTTTCCACTTTATTCGACTCCACACCACTCCACACCATTCCATTCCACTTCACTCCATTCCATTACACTCCATTCCATTCCATTCCATTCCACTCCACCCCATTGCACTCCACTCCACTCCATTTCATTCCATTCAAATCCATACCATGGCATTTCAATCTACTCCACTCCACTCCATTCCACTCCACTACATTCCACTCCACTCCACTCCATTCCACTCCATTCTATTCCAATCCACTCCATTCCATTCCATTGTACTCCATTCCATTCCATTGTACTCCATTCCATTCCATTGCTTTATTTCGTATGAATCTCACTCTGTCACCAAGAGTGGAGAGCAGTGGCACAATCTTAGCTGACATTTCATCTCACCATTCCATTCCATTCCATTCCATTGCATTCCATTCCATTCCACTCAGTTCCTCTGAAATCCGATCCACTCCACACAATTGCACTCCAATCCACTCCACTCCATTCCACTTAGTTCAAATCCGTTCTGTTCCGTTCAATTCTATTCTGTTCCATTCCATGCCACTCTTTTCCACTCCATTCCACGCCACTCAATTCCACCCCACTCTATTCCACTCCACTCTATTCCACTCGAATCCATTCCATTTCTTTCCATACATTCCATACCAGTAGATTCCATTCCATTCCATTCCATTCCATTCCATTCCATTCCATTCCATTCCACTTCACTCAGACCCACTCCACTCAACTCCACTCCACTGCACTCCACTCCATTCCGTTCCATTCCGTTCCGTTCCATTCCATTATATTCCACTCCACTCCTTTCCTTTCCAATCCATTCCACTGAAGTCCGCTTCACTCCACTCCTGTCCACTCCATTCCATCCCATTCCGTTCCAATTCACTCTGATTTACTCCACTCAACTCCACTCCAATCCACTCCGGTACATTCCTTTCCATTCCATTCCATTCTGTTCTGTGCCACTCCATTCCCTTCCACTCCAATCCATTCCATTCCACTCTATTCTTCTCTGCACCTTTTCACTCCATTCCACTCCACTCCACTCAAATCCACTCTACTCGAATCCATTACATTTCAATCCACTCAATTCTATTCCACTACATTCCATTCCATTCCATTCCACTCCATTCAACTTCAATCCACTCCAGTCAAATCTACTCCACACCATTCAATTCCATTCAACCACAATCCACTCCATTCCATTAGATTCCTTTCCATTCCATTCCACTGCACTCTGATACACTTGACTTAACTCCACTCCACTCCACTCAACTGTCCTCCATTTCGTTCTGTTCCATTCCTGTCCATTCCATACCATTCCACTCTGTTCCTCTCCATTCCATTCTACTCCATTCCATTTCACTCCATTTTAATCCATTCCACTCCATTCCACTACAATCTACTCTGTTCCATTCAATTCCATTCCAATGCATGCTGATCCAGTCTAGTCAACTCCACTCTAATCCACTCCATTCCACTACTTCCTTTAAGTTCCGTTCCATTCCATTCCATTATACTCTATTCTTTTCCACTCCACTCCTTTTCACTCCACTCCATTTCACTCCATTCTACTCTATTCCAGTACACTCCTCTCCACACCCATCCTTTCCTCTGCATTCCATTGCACTCCATTCCATTCCACTCCATTCCATTGCATTCCTGTCCTTTCCATTCCATTCCTCTCAATTCCACCCAATTCCACTACATTCCATTCCAGTCCATTCCATTCCACTCCACTCCAATCCACTCTATTCCATTCCTTTCCACCCCATTAAGTTCCATTCCCTTCCATTCCATTCCACTCCATTGCACTCCATTCCACTCCACCCATTCCAATCCACTCCATTCCGCTCCACTCCACTCCATTCCACTACATTCCATTCCATTCCTTTCCTTTCCATTACGTTTATTCCATTCCATTCCATTCCATTCCATTTCCTTACATTCCACTCCACTCCATTCCCTTTAATTCCTTCCATTCCACAGAACTCCGATTCACTTTACTCAACCCCTTCCACTGAACTGCACTCTGTTCCATTCCTTTCCGTCCATTCCCTTCAGTTCCATTCCCTTACACTCCACCCATTCCACTCCACTCCATTACACTCCACTTCATTTCAATCCATTACACTCCATTGCACTCCTCTCCTCTCCACTCCACTCCTATTCAATCCATTCCATGCCACTCAATTCCATTCCATTCCATTCCTTTCCAGTCCATTTCACTCCATTACACTCCACCCTTTCCATTCCACTGCATTCCACTCCACACCACTGCATTCCACTCCTCTCCACTCCATTCCCTTCCACTCCATTCCATTCCATTCTAGTTCATTTCAATTCATTCCTTTATTTCCACTTGATCTCACTCTGTCACCAATACTGGAGTGCAGTGGCAGAATCGTGGCTCACATTTCATTACACTTTTCCATTCCATTCCGTTCCATTCCATTCCATTCCATTACATTCTGTTCCATTACATTTCATTGCACTCAACTTCATTCCATTCCACTACATTCCTCTCCCTTCCACTTTACTCCACTCCACTCCTTTCCATTCATTTCCATCCAGAGCACTCCGATCCACTCTATTCAACTCCAATCCACTCCACTCCTCTCAGCTCTGTTCTGTTCCATTGCTTTCCATTCCATTCCATTCCATTCCATTCTGATCCGTTCCCATCCATTCCATTCCATTCCACTCCATACCATTCCATTCCATTCCATTCCAATCCATTCCACTCCACTCCACTCCATTCCACTCCACTCCACTCCATTCAACTCCATTCCATTGCATTCCCCTCCATTGCATTCCGTTCCATTCCTATCCATTCCACTCCATGCCTCTCCACTCCATTCCACTCCACTCTTTTACACTCCATACCAATCCACTTCATTCAATTCCATTCCATTTTTCTCCATTCAATTCCATTCTTTATTTCGACTGGATCTCACTCTGTCACCCAGACTCTAGTGTAGTGCCACAATCTTAGCTCATATTTCATTTCACCACTCCATTCCATTCCACTCCACTCCACTCCACTCCACTTCACTCGACTCCGTTCCATTACACTCCATACCAATCCATTCCACTCCTCTCCACTCAATTCCATTCCACTAAATTCCATTCCATTCCATTCCATTCCATTCCATTCCATTCCATTCCACTCTAATCCTCTTCAATCCGCTCCACTCCAATCCACTCCAATCCATTCCATTCCCTTCCATTCCTCTCCACTACATTCCATTCCAATCCCTTCCACTGTACTCTTATCCACTCCACTCAACTCCACTCAACTCCATTCAACTCGAATCCTTTCCCTTCCATTCCATTCCATGCCATTCTATTCCATTCCATTCCTTTCCGTTCCATACCATTCCATTCCATTCTATTCCATTCCACTCCACTCCACTCCATTCCATTCCATTCCTATCCATTCCACTCCAATGCACTCCGTTCGAGAACACTCCACTCTTCTCCACTCCACTGCAATCCATTCCATTGTATTCCATTCTGCTGCACCCCGATCCACTCCAATAAACTCCAGTTCACTCCACTCCATTCCGTTGCATTACGTTCCTTTCTGTTCCGTTCCGTTACTTTCCATTCCGCTCCATTTCATTCCATTCCACTAAATTCCACTCAGCTGCCTTCCACTCCACACCACTCCATTCCACTCCATTTCATTCCACTCCAATCCAATTCATTCCATTCTACTCCATTCCTTTACGTTCTTTTATTTCGACTGGGTCTCACTCTGTCTCACAGACTGGAGTGCAGTGGCACAATCTTAGCTCACCTTTTTTTGCAGCATTCTTTTCCATTCCATTTCATTCCATTCCATTACATTCCACTGCACTGCGACCTACTCCACTCAACTCCACTCCATTTCACTCCATTATACTACATTCCTTTCCATTCCATTCCACTCCATACCATTCGGTACAATTCCACTACATTTGATTCCATTCCTCTCCACTCCATGCCATTCCATTCCATTCCACTCAACTCCACACCACTTTACTCCAATCCACTCCAAACCACTACATTCCATTCCATTCCATTCCACTTCTTTCCTTTCAACTGCACTCTGACCCTTTCTGCTCAACTCCACTCCACTCCAGTCCACTCCGTTCCATTCACTTCAACTCCATTTCTTTCCATTCTCTTCCATTCCACTACATTCCATTCCACTCCACTCCACTCCATTGCACTCCCCTCCATTTATCGCCATTCCACTCCATTAAAACCCACTCCACTCCACTCCATTCCATTTCACTCCATGCCACTCCATTGCACTTCACTCCACTCCAGTATACTCCTCTCCACTCCATTCCATTCCATTCTACTCCATTCCACTCAACTTCATTCCATTCCACTCTGGTCCACTCCATTCCACTCGACTCCACTCCATTCCATTCCTTTCCACTCCATTCCAGTACACTCCATTCCACTGCATTCCACTCCATTCCATTCCACTCCATTCCACCCCATTCCACTCCATTCCATTCCACTCCACTCCATTCCATTCAATGCTACTGCATTCTATTCCAATCTTTATTTCCACGGGATTATCTCTGTTACCCAGACTTGAGTGCAGAGGCACAATCTTAGCTCTCTTTTCATTTCATCATTCCATTCTATTCCATTTCATTCCATTCCATTGCATTCCGTTCCACTGCATTCCACTCCTCTCCACTTTTCTCCATCCTATTCCACTCCACTCCATTCAATTCCTCTCCCTTCCAATCCATTCCATTCCACCCCACCCCATTCCACTCCATTCCACTTCTTTGCATTCTACTCCACTGAATTCCATTCCATTCTACTCCTTTCCATTCCGTTTCTTTATTGTGACTGGATTTCACTCTGTCAACCAGACTGGAGTGTTGTTGCACAACCTTATATCACATTTCATTTTACCATACCATTCCGTTCCATTGTATTCGAATCCACTTTTTCCATTCCTTTCCAGTCCATTCCATTCCACTCCATTCTACTCCATTCCAGTCCACTCCATTCCAATCCACCTTACTCCAGTACAATCCACTCAAATCAACTCCATTCCACTCCATTCCATTCCTTTCCATTCCCTTCCATTCCATTCCACTGCATTCCGATCCACTGCACTGAACTCCACTCCACTCCACTCCATTCTGTACCATTTGATTCCGTTCCATTCTATTCAATTTCATTCCATTCTACTCCACTCCATTCCATTCCACTTTATTACATAACATTCCACTCCACTCCACTCTATTCCATTCCATTCTATTCTGTGCACTCCGATCCATTCCACTGAACTCCATTCCACTCCATTCTATTCAGTTCCATTCCGTTCCGTTCCGTATCATTCCTTTCCACTCCATTCCATGCCACTTCACTCCATTCCACTCTACTCATCCAGTCCATTCAATTACACTCCATTCCATTCCATTACACTTTGTTCCATTACACTCCATTCTACACCATTCCAATCCATTCCACTCCACTCCATTCCAGTCCTCTCCATTCCACTCTACTCAACTCCATTCCACTCCATTCAATTCCATTCCACTCCATTCCATTACTTTAAATTCCAACCCATTCTCCTCCACTCCATTGCACTTCATTTCGTTAGACTCCTCTCCACTTCGTTCCACTCCATTCCATTCCACTCCACTCCATTGCATTTCATTCTACTCCATTCCATTCTGTAAGTTTATTTCGACTGGATCTCACCCTGTCACCCACACTGGAGTGCAGTGGCACAATCTTAGCTTATATTTCATTCCACCGTTCCATTGCATTCCACTCCACTCCAGTCCGCTCCACTCCATTCCATTGCATTCTTCTCCATTCCATTCCATATATTTATTTTGACCGGATCACACTATGTCAACCATACTGGAATGAAGTGGCACAATCTTAGCTCACTTTTCATTTCACCTTTCCATTCCATTCCATTCCATTCCACTTCATTCCACTCCATTCCACTCCACTCCAATCCACTCGACTTCATTCCATTCAATTCCACTCCAATCTACTCCATTCCACTTCACTCCTTTCCATTCCACTCCAATCCACACCATTGCTTTTCACTCCACTACAATCAATTCCATTCCATTTCATTAAATTCCAATCTTTTGCATTCCATTCCATTCCATTCCATTCCATTGCATTCCATTCCATTCCATTCCTTTCCACTCCATTATATTCCATTCAACTCCATTGCGGTCCATTTTTCTCCACTACACTCCATGCCAATCCACTCCACTCAACTACACAGCACTCCACTCCATTCCATTCCACTCCACTCCATTCTATCCCATTCCATTCCATTCCATTCCATTCCATTCCATTAAATTCCATTCCATTCTACTCTACTCCTATCCATTTCACTCCACTCCGCTCCACTTCACTCAGTTCCATTCCATTCCATTATATTCCATTCCATTCCATTACGTTCCATTACATTATATTCCACTCCACTCGATTCCATTCCACTCCATTCCCCTCCATTCCACTGCACTCCACTCCACTCCACTCCCATCTACTCCATTCCATAGCACTCCATTCCATTCCAGTGTACTCCAATCCACTCCACAGAACTGTACTCCACTTCACTCCTTTCCATTCCGTTCCGTTCCATTCCATTCCTTTTGATTCCACTGCTTTCCCTTTCATGCCACTCCACTCCACTCCGATTCATTTCACTCCTTTCCACTCCATGCCACTCCATTCCTCTCCACTCCACTCCGCTACACTACACTCCACTACATTCCACTCCATTTCACTCTATTCCATTGCATTCCAATTCTTTCCACTCCATTTCACTCCCCTCCAGTACACACCACTCCACTCCATTCTATTCCACTTCTCTCCATTCCATTCCATTCCCTTCCATTCCATTCCACTGCACTCCGATCCACTCCACTCCACTCCACTCTACTCCATTGCAGTCCATTACATGTGATTCCATTACACTCCATTCCACTTCTCTCCACTCCACTGCACTCTACTCCACTCCATTCCACTCCATCCCATTCCATTCCACTCCATTCCACTGCACTCGTCTTCACCCAATATCTCTCCACCTCATTCCATTCCATTCCATTCCACTGCCCTCCACCACATTCCACTCCACTTCACTCCACTCCACTCCACTCTACTCCAGCACACTCCATTCCATTCCATTCTATTCCATTCCATTCCATTCCATTTTATCCTATTCCATTCCTTTCCAATCCATTCCATTCCATTCCTTTGCTTTCCATTCCATTCCATTCCATTAAATTCCTTTCCACTCTATTCTCTTCCATTCCACTCCATTCCATTCCACTCCTCTCCATTCTATTCCAGCCCATTGCACTCCTCTCTACTCCATTCCATTCC
Organism: Homo sapiens; assembly: GCF_000001405.40. Classification (NCBI taxonomy): domain Eukaryota; kingdom Metazoa; phylum Chordata; class Mammalia; order Primates; family Hominidae; genus Homo; species Homo sapiens. Next base: position 10,884,963 of record NC_000024.10, read on the forward strand.
ATTCCATTCCATTCCACTTCACTGCACTCCATTCCATTCCATTCCTTTCCATTCCAGTCCATTCCCCTCTACTCCATTCCTTTCCAATCCATTCCTCTCGACTGCACTCCATTCCATTCCACTCCACTCCTTTCCATTCCATTCCACTCCACTCCACTCTACTCCACTCCATTCCACTCCACTCCATTCCATTCTATTCCATTCGATTCCACTGAACTCCATTCCATTCCATTCCATTCCATTCCATTCCATTCCATTCCATTCATTCCATTCCATTCCTCTCCATTCCATTCCTTTCCATTCCATTCCATTGCACTTCACTCCAATCCACTTCAATCAAATACAGTCTACTCCACTCCACCCCACTCTGTTCTGTTCAATTCCATTCCAGTCCGTTCCATTCAATTCCCTTCCATTACATTTCATTCTATTCCACTCCACTCCATTCCATTCTCCTCCATTCCACACCATTCCTCTCCACTCCACTGCACTCCACTTCACTAAATTCCACTCTACTCCACTCTATTCCATTCCACTCCACTCCAATCTATTCTACTCCATTACACTCCGATCCACTCCACTCCACTCCCCTCTGCTATACTCCAGTCCATTCCATTCTGTTCCATTCCATTCCATTCCACTACATTCCAATGCACTCCACTCAGTTCTACTCCACTCCATTTCACAACATTCCACTCCATTCCACTCCACTCCACTCTACTCCACTCTCCTCTACTCCATTCCATTCCATTTACTACGTTCCATTTCATTTCTCTCCATTCCATTGCATTTCAATCCTTTCCATTCCATTCCATTCTTTTCCACTCAATTCCACTCCATTCCATACCACTCCACTCCATTCTTTTTCACTCCACTCCATTCTTTTTCACTCCACTCCATTCCACTCCATTCCATTCCATTCTACTTCATTGCATTCCAATCCGTGCCACTCCATTGCCTTCCACTCCATTCCCTGTACTGCATTCAACAGCTCTCCACTCTATGCAACTCTATTCCTTTCCATTCTACTCCATTCCTTTCCATTTCTTTATTTCGACTGGATGTAATTCTGTCACTCAGACTGGAGTGCAGTGGCACAATCTCAGCTCACATTTCCTTTCAACATTGCACTCCATTAAATACCTTTGCATACCACTGAACTCATTTCCACTCCACTCCACTCCATTCAATTCCAATCCACTGCACTAAAATCAAATCCACTCATCTCCACTTCTGTCCACCCAACTCCACTCCATTCCATTGCATTCCTTTCCATTGTGTTCCGTTTTGTTCCATTCCACTGCATTCTATTCCATTACACACCATTCCACTCTACTCCGTTTCACTCCATTCCATTCCATTTCACTCAAGTCCACTCCACTCCTCTTCACTCTGGTCCGTTACATTCCATTTGATTCGATTCGATTCCATTCGATTCCATTCAATTCCATTCCACTCCGATCAACTCCAATCAACTCGACTCCACTCCACTCCGTTCCATTCCATTCCATTCCATTCCACTGCACTCTAATCTACTCCTCTCAACTCCTTTCCTTTCAATTCCACTCCATTACATTTCATTCCACTCCACTCCTTTCTACGCCACTCCATTTCACTACATTCCTCTCCATTCTAATCTATTCCACTCCACTCATCTCCTTTCCATTCCATTCCATTTCATTCCATTCTTCTGCACTCCAATCCTCTCCACTCAACTCTTCTCCACTCCAAACCCTTTGATTCTGTTCCATTCCATTCTATTCTGTTCCATTGCATTCCATTCTAATCCTCCCCATTCCTTTCCACTCCTCTGCACTCCACTCCACTACCCTCCACCCCATTCCCTTCCATTCCTTTCTATTCCAGGACACTTCAGTCCAATCCACTCCACTCCACTCCACTCCATTCCGTTGCATTCCCTTTTGTAACGTTCCGTTCCATTCCATTAAACTCCATACCATTCCACTCCACTCCAGTCCACTCCACTGCATCCAAGTCAATTCAATTCCACTCAATTCTATTCCATTCCACTCTGTTCTATTTCATTCCATTCCACTCCATTCCACTACCTTCCAATCCACTCGATTCCCCTACTCTCCATTCCACTCCACTCAACTCCATTCCATTCCATTGTACTACATTTCCTTCCTTTCCATTCCACTCCGTTCCACTCCATTATCCTCCAGTCCATTCCACTTCATTCCTTTAGACACCATTCCACTCCATTCCACGCTATTCCATTCCACTATACTCCAATCCTTTCCATTCTACTCCATTCCATTCCGAAACTTTATTTCGACTGGATCTCACTCTGTCACTCAGACGGTAGTGCAGTAGCACAATCTTTGGTCACATTTCATTTCACCATTCCATTCCATTCCATTCCATTCCATTCCATTCCATTCCATTCCATTCCATTCCAATCTACTCCACACCACTCCACTCTATTCCACTACATTTCATTCCAATCTACTCCATTCCATTCCATTCCACTCCATTCCATTCCATAACTTTATTTCGACTGGCTCTCACTCTGTCACCCAGACTGGAATGTAGTGGCACAATCTTAGCTCACTTTTCATTTCCCCTTTCCGTTACATTCCATTCCACTTCATTCCATTCCATTCCATTTCATGCCATTCCACTCCAATCTACTCCACTACAATCCACTCCACTTCACTCCATTCTGTTCCACTTCATTCCACTTCAATCCAGTCCACTCCATTCCATTCCACTCCAATCAACTGCATTGCTTTACACTCCACTCAATTCTATTCCACTCCATTCCATTCAATTTCACTCCAGTCCATTCTATTCTATTGCACTCTACTCAACTCCACTCCACTCCACAACACTACACTCCATTCCATCCCATTTTGCTCCATTCCATTCCATTCCTTTATTTCGACTGGATCTCACTCTGTCACCAAGATCAGAGTGCAGTGGCAGAGTCTTAGCTCACATTTCATTCCACCATTCCACTCCACTCCACTCCATTCCATTCCACTCCACTCCATTCCATTCCACTCCACTCCATTCCATCCCATTCCATTCCATTCCACTCCATTCCATTCCATTCCACTCAACTTCATTGTTTTTCACCCCACTCAATTCTATTCCACTCCATTCCATTCCATTTCACTCCAGTCCATTCGATTCCATTCCATTCCACTCCACTCCATGCTATTCCATTTGGCACCATTCTATTCCTTTCCAATGCACTGCACTCCAATTCACTCCACACCATGCTACTCCATTCCATTCCACTCCACTCCACTCCACTACAATCCATTCCCTTCCATTCCAGTCCACTCCATTCCATTCCTTTCCATTCCATTCCATTCTGTTCCACTCCATTCCTTTCCGTTCCATTCCATTCTATTCCATTGCATTGCATTGAATTCCATTGCATTCCATTCCTTTGAATTCCACTGCACTCTGATCCACTTCAGTCAACTCCCTTCCATTCCTCTCCACTCCATTCATCTCCACTCTTTCCACTCCACTCCACCCCATTCCACTCCATTCTATTCAACTCCACTCCTTTTCATTCTATTCTACTCCATTCCATTGCAATCCTTTATTTTGAGTGGATCTCACTCTGTCACCAGGACTGGAGTGAAGTGGTACTATTTTAGCTCACATTTCATTTCACCATTCCATTCCATTCCACTCCATTCCACTCCACTCCACTCCACTCCGTTCCACTCCTCTCCATTTCATTCCACTCATCTCCATTCCATTCCACTCCACTCCACTCCGTTCCTCTCCACTCCATTCCATTTCATTCCATACCATTCCATTCATATCCACTCCATTCCATTCCACTCCAATCATCTCCATTTCTTTTCATTCCACTCAATTGTATTCCACTCCATTCTATTCCATTTCACTCCAGTCCATTTCATTCCTCTCCACTCCATTCTATTCCATTTGACACCGTTCCATTCCATACCACTCCACTGCTCTCCAATTCACTCCAAACTATGCCACTCCATTCCATTCCACTCCACTCCACTACACTGCAATCCGTTCTCTTCCATTCCACTCTATTGCATTCCATTCCATTTCATTACATTCCATTCCTGTACATTGCATTCCATTCCATTCCTTTCAGTTCCACTGCACTCTGATCCACTTCAGTCAACTCCTCCCCACTCCACTCCATTCAACTCCACTCCTTTCCACTCCACTCCATTCCATTCCACTCCACTCCCATACATTACAATCCATTCCCTTCCATTCCACTCCAATCAATTCCATTCCATTCCATTCCATTCCATTCCATGCCATGCCATGCCATGCCATTCCATTCCATTCCATTCCATTCCATTCCATTCCATTCCATTCCATTCCATTCCATTCAAATCCTTTCAATTCCACTGCAGTCTGATCCACTTCAGTCAACTCAACTCCATTCCATTCAACTCCACTCCTTTCCAATCCACTCCAATCCATTCCACCCCACTTCACCCAATTCCACTCCATTCCATTCCACTCCCCTACTTTTCATTCTATGCTACTCCATTCCATTCCTTTCATTTATTTCGACTGGATCTCACTCTGTCACACAGACTAGAGTGCAGTGGCACAATCTTAGATCACATTTCATTTCACCATTCCATTGCATTCCTTTCCACTCCACTCAAGTCCATTCCATTCCAGTCCTTTCCACTCCACTCAACTCTACTCCAGTCCACTCCTTTCCATTCTGCTCCATTCCGTTCTGTTCCATTCCACTCCATTCCTTTCTATTCCGTTCCCTTCCATTATATTCCATTCCATTAAATTCCATTCCATTCCATTCCATTCCATTCCATTCCATTCCATTCCATTCCATTCCATTCCATTCCACTGCAATCCAATCCACTTCACTCAACTCCACTTCACTCCAGTCCACTCGGTTATCATCCATTCCATTCCATTCCATTCCACTGCATTCCATTCCATTCCATTTCATTCCACTGCATTCCATTCCATTGCTTTCCTCGAAAATATCTCACTCTGTCACCCAGCCTGGAGTGCTGTGGCACAATGTCAGCTTTCATTTCACTTCGCCTGTCCATTCAAATCCATTCTATTCTCTTCCATTCCATTCCACTCCACTAGACTCCACTCCAGTCAATTCCACTCCACTCCACTTCAATCCATTCCAGTACACTCCACTCATTTCCTTCCAATCCAATTCCATTGCACTCCTTCCCACTCCACTGCACTCCACTCCATTCCATTCCATTCCATTGCAATCCACTGCACTCCACTCCACTCAAATCCATTTTACTCATTACATTTCTGTTCCCCTCCATTCCATTCCATTCCACTCCATTCCACTCTACTCCATTGCAGTCTACTCCATTCCACTCCACTCCATTCCACTCCACTCCACTCCAATCCAGTACATTCCTTTCCACTTTACTTCATTCCACTACACTGCACTCCATTCCACACCACTCCACT
>NC_000024.10:10891942-10896525 GCF_000001405.40 Homo sapiens
TTCCATTCCATTCCATTCCATTCCATTGCATTCCATTCCACTCCACATCACTCCACTCCACTCCACTCCATTCCACTTCACTCCACTGTACTCCACTCCACTTCACCCCACAACACTCCATTCCATTTCACTCCACTCCACTTCATTCCACTCCACTCTATTCCATTCCACTCCAATCTATTCCATTCCATTCAAACCCGTTCCATTCCACTGCACTCCATTCCATACCACTCCACTCCACTCCATTACACCCCATTCCATTCCGTTCCACTCCAATTCAGTCCACTCCTCTCCACTCTCCTGCCTTCCACTCCATTCCATTCCACTACATTCAATTTCATTCATTTCTTTACACAAGATCTCTCTCTGTCACAAAGGCTGGAGTGCAGTGGCACAATATCAGCTCAGTTTACTTTTCACTATTCCTTTGCATTCCATTCCATCCCATTTCATTCCACACTTTCTCACTCCATTCCACTCCACTCCATTTCAATACATCCCAGTCCATTCGACTCCATTCCACTCCACTCCTTTCCACTCTTTTCCACTCCACTTCACTCCATTCCAATCCATTCCATTCCATTCCATTCCACTCCATTTCATTCCATTCCATTCCATTCCATTCCATTCCATTCCATTCCATTCCATTCCATTCCATTCCATTTCTCATCATTGAATTCCATTCCTTTCTTTCGACACGATATCACTGTGTCACCCAGGCTAAAGTGCAGTGGCATAATCTCAGCTCACATTACATGACAACTTTCCATTGCATTGCCTTCTATTCTATTACATCACATTATATTGCATAGCTTTGCATTGCGTTGCATTGCATTGCATTCCATACCATTCCATTCCATTCCATACCATTCCATTGCATTCCACTCCATTCTATTCCATTCCAATCCACTCCTATTCACTCCACTCCACTCCAATCCAATCCAATCCATTCCATTCCATTAAAATCTACTCCATTCACCTCAATTCCACTAAACTCTACTCCACTCTTCTCCACTCTACTCCACTCCAATCCATTCCATTCCATTCCATTCCACTCCATTCTCCTCCATTACACTCCATTATACTCCATTCCATTCAACTTCACTCCACTCCACTCCACTCCACCTCATTCCATTCCCGTTCACTACACTTCACTCAATTCCACTCCATTCCCCTCCAATCCATTCCATTCCAATCCACTCCACACGACTCCACTCCACTCCATTCCATTGGATTCTATTCCACTCCGCTCCACACAATTTCATCCCATTCCACTCCATTCATTTCCACTCCACTCCACCTCACTCTAGTCCACCCCACTCCAATCCACTGCATTCCATTCCATTCCAGTGCAATCCACTCCACTCAAATCAATCCCACTCCTCTTCTCTACTCCCTTCCATTTCATTCCATTCCATTCCATTCCATTCCTTTGCTTTCCATTCCATTCCATTCCATTAAATTCCTTTCCACTCTATTCCCTTCCATTCCACTCCATTCCATTCCACTCCTCTCCATTCCATTCCAGCCCATTGCACTCCTCTCTACTCCAGTCCATTCCATTCCATTCCACTTCACTGCACTCCATTCCATTCCATTCCTTTCCATTCCAGTCCATTCCCCTGTACTCCATTCCTTTCCAATCCATTCCTCTCGACTGCACTCCATTCCCTTCCCTTCCATTCCCTTCCTTTCCATTCCATTCCATTCTATTCCTTTCCACTCCACTGCACTACACTCCATTCCTTTCCATTTCACTCCAATCCAATCCACTCCATTCCACTACACTTTTCTTATTTCCTTTCCACTTCCTCCATTCTATTCCTCTCCATTCCATTCCATTCCATTCCATTCCATTCCATTCCATTCCATTCCATTCTCTCCACTCTATTACATTCCACTCCACTACATTTCATTCCATTTCACTCCACTCCCCTCCACTCCATTAACCTAAACCCCACTACTCTCCACTCCATTCTTTTCCACTTCTCTCCATTCCATTCCATTCTCTTCCATTCCATTCCACTGCACTCCGATCCACTCCACTCCACTCCACTCTACTCCATTGCATTCCGTTACATGTGATTCCATTCCACTCCATTCCACTTCTCTCCACTCCACTGCACTCTACTCCACTCCATTCCACTCTAACCCATTCCATTCTACTCCATTCTACTGCACTCGTCTTCACCCAATATCTCTCCACCTCATTCCATTCCAATCCATTCCACTGCCCTCCACCCCATTCCATTCCACTCCACTTCACTCCACTGCACTCCACTCTACTCCAGTACTCTCCATTCCGTTCCATTCCATTCCATTCCATTTTATCCTATTCCATTCCTTTCCAATCCATTCCATTCCATTCCTTTGCTTTCCATTCCATTCCATTCCATTAAATGCCTTAACACTCTATTCCATTCCATTGCACTCCATTCCATTCCACTCCTCTCCATTCCATTCCAGCCCATTGCACTCCTCTTTACTCCAGTCTATTCCATTCCATTCCATTTCACTCCTCTGCACTCCATTCCATTCCATTCCATTCCAGTCCATTCCCCTCTACTCCATTCCTTTCCAATCCATTCCTCTCGACTGCACTCCATTCCATTCCCTTCCATTCCATTCCATTCCATTCCATTCCATTCCATTCCATACCATTCTATTCCTTTCCACTCCACTGCACTACACTCCATTCCTTTCCATTTCACTCCCATCCAATCCACTCCATTCCACTACACTTCTGTTATTTCCTTTCCACTTCCTCCATTCTATTCCTCTCCATTCCATTCCATTCCATTCCATTCCATTCCATTCCATTCCATTCCATTCCATTCCTTCCTCGAGAGTATCTCACTCTGTCACCCAGCCTGGATTGCCGTGACACAATATCAGCTCTCATTTCATTTCACCATTCCATTACATTCTATTCCACTCCACTAGACTCCACTCCATTCCATTCCACTCCACTCCACTTCATTGCATTCCAGTCCATTCCACTCATTTCCTTTCCTTCGAATTCCATTGCACTCCTTTCCTCTCCACTGCACTCCACTGCACTGCACTCCATTCCATTCTGTTCCACTCCATTGCATTCCATTCCAGTCTTCTCCACTCCACTCAACTCCATTCCACTAATTTCCTTTCTGTTCCACTCCATTCCATTCTATGCCATTCCACTCTACTCCATTGCAGTCTACTGCATTCCACTCCACTCTACTCCTTTCCACTCCTCTTCAGTCCACTCCAGTCCACTCCATTCAAATACTCTCTACTCCTATCCATTCCACTCCACTTCAGACCGCTCCCCTCCATTCCATTTCCCTGCCCTCCGATCCACTCCACACAACTCCACTCCACTCCGCTCCACTCTGTTCCATTCCATTCGGTTTGTTTTGTTCTGTTCCTTTCCACTCCAATCCACTCCATTTCACTGTACTCAACTACATTCCATTACATCTGATTCCATTTCACTACATTCCAGTCCTTTCCATTTCACTACACTCCATTCCATACCATACCACTGCATTCCATTCCAATATTTTCTTTTGGCAGGATTTCCCTGTGTCACCAAGGCTGGATTGCAGTGGCACAGTCACCAAGGCTGGATTGCAGTGGCACAATCTCAGCTCACATTTCATTTCACCATTCCATTAGCCTCCATTCCATTACATTCCACTCCACTCCTCTCCATTCCTCTCCACTCCACTCAATTCCATTCCATTCCTTTATTTCGATTGGATTTCACACTATCACCCTGACTGCAGTGCAATAGCACAATCTTAGCACATATTTTATTTCACCATTGCATTCCATTCCATTCCACTCCATTCCATTCCATTCAACTCCATTCCATTCCATTCCGTTCCTCTCCATTCCATTCCATTCCATTCCACTCCATTCCATTCCATTCCATTCCATTCCATTCCATTCCATTCCATTCCACTGCATTGCACTCAGCTCCACTCAATTCCACTCCACTCCAATCCATTCCTTACCATTCCATTTAAATCCCTTCCATTCCACTCCTTTCTTTCAACACATTGTCCCTGTCACACAGGTTGTAGCGCAGTGGCACAAACTCAGCACACTTCACTTTTCTCCATATCATTCCTTTCCACTCCACTCCCCTCCTCTCCTTTCCACTCCACTCCATTCCACTCCACTCCACTCCAATCCATTTCATTCCATCCCATTCCATTCCACTCCTTTCAAATCCACTCCACTCCATTCCATTTTATTCCACTGTATTCTATTCCTTGATTTTCTTTCTACAGGATCGCAATCTGTCACACAGGCTGGAGTGCAGTGGCACAATCTCAACCCACATTTTGTTTCACCCTTCCATTAAATTCCATTCCATTCCATTCCATTCCATTCCATTCCATTCCATTCCATTCCATTCCATTCCCCTCCATTCCATTCCCTTCCACTCCACTCCAATGCACTCCACTCCACTCCACTCTAATGAATTCAATTCTTCTTCATTCAATTGCATTCTTTTTTTTTTGGACTGGATATCACGCTCTCACCAAGACAGGAGTGCAGTGGCACAATCTAAGCTTACATTACATTTCACCATT
>NC_000024.10:10898184-10908519 GCF_000001405.40 Homo sapiens
TTCTATTCTATTCCATTCTATTCCATTCCACTCCACTCCACTCCTTTCCGTTACAATACATTCCACTCCATTCCACTCTACTCCACTCCACTGAACTCCATTCCATTGCATTCCACTCCATTTTATTCCATTACATTCCACTCCACTCCACACCACTCCACTCCATTCCACTCCATTCCACTCCATTCCTTTCCATTCCACTCCACTCTACTCCACTCCTCTTCACTATGCTCCATTCCATTGCATTCCAATCCACTCCATTCCACTCCACTCCCTTCCTTTCCATTGCACTACACCCAATTCCACTCCACTCCACTCCATTCCCCTTCAGTCCAGTCCACTCCACCCCATGCCACTCCTCTGTAGTGCATTCCACTCCACTGCACTCCACTCTACTCCAATCCACTCCATTACATTCCATTCCGTTTGATTTCACTCCACTGCATTCCATTCCTTTCTTTCAACAAGATATCATTGTATCACCCAGACTGGAGTGCAGTGGCACAGTCTCAACTGACATTACATGTCCTCTTTCTTTTGCATTGCATTCTATTCCATTGCCTTGCATTGCATTGCATTGCGTTGCATTCCAGAGCATTGTATTGCATTCCATTCCATTCCATTCCTTTCCATCCCATTCCATTCCATTCCACTTCCTTCCATTCCATTCAACCCCATTCACCTCCACTCCACTCCACTCCACCCCACTCCATTGCATTCCATTCCATTACAGTGCACTCCACTGCACTCCATTCCATTCCACTTCAATCCACTCCACTCCACTCCTCTCCATTAAATTCCATTCCATTCCACTCTATTCCACTCTTCTCCACCACACTTAACTCCATTCCATTCCATTCCATTCCATTCCATTCCACTCCATTCCATTCCATCCCACTCCATTCCAGTCCATTCCACTCCACTCCACTCCACTCCACTATATTACTTTCCATTCCTCTCACTCCACTCCATTCCACTCCATTCCACTTCACTCCACTCCATTCCAGTCCACTCCACTGCATCCCACTGCACTCCACTGCATTCCATTCCACTCCACTCCATTCCCTTCCATTCAATTCCACCCCCTTCCACTCCACTCCATTCCACTCCCCTCTGTTCCATTTCACCCCACTCATTTCCATTCCTGTCAACTCCATTCTACTCCACTCTACTCCATTCCTTTCCTTTCTATTCCACTCCATACCACTCCATTCCATTCCATTCTACTCCACTCAAATCCACTTCATTCCACTCCATTCCACTCCAGTGAACTCCTTTCCACTCCATTCCATTACCTTCCACTCCACTCCTCTCCGTTCCGTTCCATTCTACTCCATTCCACTCTACTCCACTTCACTCCACTCCAATTCACTCCGCTCCATTCCATTCCAATCCTTTCCACTGCATTCCACTTCACTCCATTCCATTCCATTCCACTCCACCCCATTCCACTCCTCTCCATTCCATTCCAATCCAGTTCAATCCGCTCCACCCCATTCCAATCCACCCCACTGTATACCACTCCAATCCACTCCATTCTACTCCAATCCAGTCCATTCCATTCCATTTCTCTCCACTGTATTCCATTCCTTTCTTTCAACAGGATGTCACTGTGTTACCCAGGCTGGAGTGCAGTTACAGTATCTCAGCTCAAATTGAATGTCAACTTTCCATTGCGTTGCATTCTATTTCATTGCCTTACAATGCTTTGCGTTGCATGGCATTCCATTGCATTGCAAAGCATTCCATTCCATTCCATTCCATTCCATTCCATTCCATTCCATTCCATTCCATTCCATTCCATTCGTTTCCATTCCATTCCACTCCATTCCATTCCATTCCTTTCTTTAAACAGGATCTCTCTCTGTCACAAAGGCAAGAGTGCAGTGGCAGATTCTCAGCTTACATTTATTTTCACCATTCCATTGTATTCCATTCCATCCCATTCCATTCTACTCTATTTCACTCCACTCCACTTCTCTCCATTCCTTTCCAATCGACTCCATTGCACTCCATTCCAATCCACTCCACTCCACTCCATTCCATTCCATTCCATTTCACTCCATTGCATTCCATTCCTTCCTTTCGACAGGATATCACTGTGTCACCAAGACTTAATTGTAGTGGCACAATCTCACCTCACATTACATGTCAACTTTCCATTGCATTGTATTCTACTCCATTGCATTCCATTGCATTCCCTTCCATTCCTTTGTATTTCATTCCACTCCACTCCATTGCACTCCATTTCACTCCACTCCTTTGCTCTCCACTGCATTCCACTACATTCCTTTTCACTCTACTCCATTCCACTCCAATAGACTCCACTAAACGCCACTCCATTCCATTCCACTCCACTCCACTCCAGGCCAATCCAGTCCACTCCATTCCACTCCACTCCAATCCATTCCATTTGACTCCACTCCATTCCATTCCACTTCACTCCATTACAATCCTATCTACTCCACTCCATTCCACTCCACTCCACTCCATTCCATTCCTGTCCAATCCACTCCATTCCTCTCCACTCCACCCCACTCCACTCCATTTCATTCCACTCTACTCCATTCCACTCCACTCCACTGGATTCCAATCCACTCCACCCCACTGCATCCATTCCATTCCATTCCACTGCACTCCACTCCTCTCCATTCCACTCCATTCCATTCCATTCCACTCCATTCCACTCTACTCCCCTACTCTCCACTCCAATCCACTCCACTCCTTTCCATTCCATTACATTCCACTCTATTCCACTGCTCTCCATCCCATTCCATTCTTCTCCTCCCCATTCCACACCTCTCCACTCCTTTCCTCTCCTGTCCCATCCACTCTAACCCATTCCACTCCACCCCATTCCACTCCACCCCACTGCATTCCACTCCACTCCATGCCATTCCATTCCACTGCATTCCACTCCAATCCCCTCTACTTCACTCCACTCCACTCCTCTCCAGTACAGTCTGTTCCTTTCCACTGCATTAATTTCCATTCCTTTTTTTGGAAGGATCTCACTCTGTCACCCAGGCTGCTGTGCAGTGGCACAATCTCAGCTCACATTTCATTTCTCCTTTCCGTTCCATTCCATTCCACTGCACTCCACTCCAACCCACTTAATTGCATTCCACTCCACTCCAATCCGTTACATTCCATTCCTATCCAATCCCTTACATTCCACTCCTTTCTTTTGAAAGTATATCCCTCTGTCACCGATGCTGTAGCATAGTCATGCAATCTCAGCACACATTTCTTTTCACCATTCCATTGCGTTCCATTCCATTTCTCTCCACTCCCTTCCACTGCTTTCCATTCCACTCCACTCAACTCCATTCCATTGCAATCCACTGCACTCGACTCCACTCAGTTTCATTCCATTCCACTCCATTCCCCTCCCCTCCTCTCCTTTCCATTCCAATCCTCTCCATTCCACTCCATTCCATTCCATTCCATTCCATTCCATTCAACTCGTTTTCACTCCACTCCACTCCACTCCTTCCCATTCCACTCCATCCCATTCCATTCGACTCCATTCCACTCCACTCCACTCCTCTCTTTTCTAATCCACTTCATGCGATTCCATTCCATTCCATTCCATTTCAAACCGTTGCATTCCATTCCTTTCTTTTGAGAGGATATCACTATGTCACCCAGGCTGGTGTGCAGTGGTATAATCTCAGCTAACATTACATGTCAACTTTCCATTGCATTGCATTCTATTCCTTTGCTTTGCATTGCATTGCATTGTTTTCCATTACCTTGCATTCTATTCCATTCCGTTTCATTCCAGGGCATTCCTTTGCATTCCACTCCTTTCCATTCCATTCCACTCCACTCCATTTCACTCAACTTCACTCCACTCCATTCCATTCCATTCCATTACACTCACTCCACTCCATACCATCCCACCCTTTCCACTCCATTCCACTCAATTCCAGTTCACTTCACTCCAGTCCAATCCACTCGATTCCACTTCAATCCATTCCGTTCCATTCCACTCCATTCCATTCCACTCCACTTCATTCCATTCCACTCCACCCCATTCCATTCCAGTCCACTGCACTCCATCGACTCCATTTCATTCCATTCCATTCCACTCCACTGCACACCACTCCATTCCATTACACACCATTCCTTTCCACTCCACCCCACTCCAATCCATTCTTGTCCACTCCACTCCAATGGGGGCATTGTTACATATTTCTGCACTGATCACCCAGGTAATGCAACTGTTGTCTACACTCTGCCTACAGGGGCATTGTGACATATCACTACACTGATCCCACAGGTGATGAGACTCTTCTCCACGCTCTGCCTACAGGGGTCTTTGTGACATATCACTGCACTGATCACTCAGGTGATGGGACTCTTCTCTATACTCTGCCTAGAGGGGGATTTGTAACATAGTTTTGCTCTGACCACCCAGGAGATGGAAGTCTTGTCTAGGCTCTATCTATGGGGGCATTGTGTCAAATATCCGCACTGATCATCGAGGGGATTTAACGTTGTCAAGGCTCTGTCTACAGGGATTTTTGTGGCATATCACTGCATTAATCACCAAGATGATGTAACTCTTCTCTAGGCTCTGTTTACATGGGCATTTTCACCTATCACTGCACTGATCACCCAGGTGATGTAACCCTTGTCTAGGCTCTGCCTACCAGGGCTTTGTGACACATCTCTACACTGATCACCCGGGTGATGTAAGTCTTTGTTGGATCTGCCTATGGGAGCATGCGACATATCTCTGCAGTGATCACCCAGGTGACAGGACCCTTTTCTAGGCTCTCTGTATGGGGGATTTGTGACATATCTCCGCACTGATCACCAAGGTGATGTAACGTTTGACTAGGCTCTGCCTACTGGGGCATAGTGACATATCACTGCACTAATCACCGAGCTGATGTACCTCTTACCCAGGCTCTGCCAATACGGGGTCTTTTGACATATCTCTGCACTGATTGTCTAGGTGATGTTACTCTTGATTACGTTCTGCCTGCAGGGGCATTGTGAAATATATATTTACTGATCAAACAGGATATGTAACTCTTCTCTAATCTCTGTCTACAGGTGGCATTGTGGCATAACACTGCACTGATCACCCAGGTGATGGGACTCTTCTCCAGGTTATGCCTACTGGGGACACTGTCACATATTTCTGCAGTGATCACCCAGGTGACGGACTTTTGTCTTGGATCTGGCTATGGGTGCAATGTGACATATCTCTGCATTGATCATCCAGGTCATGTAACTCTGGTCTAAGCACTGCCTAAAGGGACATTGTGACAGATCTCTGCACTGATCACTCAGGTGATCTAACTATTGTCTAGGTTCTGCTTAAAGGAGCCTTGTCACATACCTCTGCACTGATTACCGAGGTGATGTAACTCTTGTCAAGGATCTCCTTTCAGGGGGTATTGTTACACGTCTCTGAACTGATCACCTAAGTGATGTGACACTAGCGTAGGCTTTGCCTACAGGGGCATTTTGACATATCTCTGCACTGTTAACCGAGGTGATGTAACTATTTTCTAGGCTGTGACCACAGGGGGATCGAGACATATATCTGCACTAATCGCCAGGTGATCCAACTGTTGTCTGGGCTCTGCCTACTGGGGACATTGTGACATATCTCTGCACTGATCTCCCAAGTGATGTAACTTTTGTCTAGGCTCTGGCTACGCGGCATTTTGACATATCACTGCACTGGACACCCAAGTGATATAACTCGTGTCTAGGCTCTGCCTACAGGGGGCCTGTGACATACCTCTGCACTGATCACCCAAGTGATGTAACTCTTGTCTGGGATCTGCCTGCAGGTTGCTTTGTGACATATCCCGTCAATGATCACCCAGGTGATGTACCACTTGTCAAGGCTCTGCCTACAGGGGCATTGTGAAGTATCTCTGCACTGATCACCTAGGTCATATAACCCTTGTCTAGGATCTCTCTGCAGTGGCATTGTGACATATCTCTGCAGTGATCACCCAGGTAATGTAACTCTTGTCTAGGATCTGCCTATAGGGTGCTTTGTGACATTTCCCTGCAATGATCACCCAGGTGATATGCCATTTGTCTAGGCTCTGCCTACAGGGACATTACGATGTATCTCTGAACTGATCACCTAGATCACGTATTTTTTTCTAGGTTCTGCCTACAGTGGCACTGTGGCATATCTCTGCAGTGATCACCCAGGTGATGTAACTCTTGTCTAGAATCTGACTACATGGTGCTTTGTGACATATCCCTGCAATGTTCACCAAGGTGTTGTACCACTTGTCAAAGCTCTGCCTGCTGGAGCACTGCGACGTATCTCTACACTAATCACCTAGGTCATGTAATTCTTTTCTAGGATCTTCCAACAGTGGCATTGTGACATATCTCTGCACTGATCACCCAGGTGATGTAACACTTGTCTAGGATCTGTCTAAAAAGACTTTGTGACATAACTTTGCGCTGATCCCCCAGGTGAAGGGACTTTTGTCTATGCTCTGCTACGGTGGCATTGTGACATATCTCTACACTGATCACCCAGGTGTTGTAACTCTTGTGTTGGATCTGCCTACTGGGCATTGCGACATATTGCTGCACTGATCACCAAGGTGATGTGACTCTTGTCTTGTCTAGGCTCGGTGTATGGGGGATTTGTGACTTATCTCTGCACTGATTACCCAGGTGATGTAACGCTTGACTAGGCTCTGCCTACTGGGACACAGAGACAGATCATTGCATTGATCATCAAGCTGATTTGTCTGTTGTCCAGGATCTGTCTACAGGGGGCCTTGTGACGTATCTCTGCACTGATCATCTAGGTGCTGTATCTCTTGCTTACGTTCTTTTTGCAGGGGCTTTGTGAAATATCTCTGTATTGATCAACCAGGTGATGTAACTCTTGTCTAGGCTCTGCCTACAGGGGGCATTGTGGAATAACTCTGCACTGATCACCCAGGTGATGTAACTCATCTGAGCTCTGCCTACAGGGGCCTTGTGACATATCACTGCACTAATCACCCCGGGGAGAGAATTCCTCTCTAGGCTCTACTTACAGGGGGCTTTGTGACCTGTCTCTGCAATGATCACCCAGTGATGTAACACTTGTCTAGGATCTGCGTTAAGGGACTTTGAGACATAACTCTGCACTGATCATCCAGGTGTTGGGGCTTTTATCTAGGCTCTGCCTACAGGGGCATTGTGACGTATTTCTGCACTGAACACCCAGGTGACGGACTCTTGTCTTGCATATGCCTATTTGGGATTTCTGGCATATCTCTGCACTGATCACCCAGGTAATGAAACTGTGCTATAAGCTCTGCCTACAGGGGAATTTTGAGAGATCTCTCCACTGTTCACCCAAGTGACGTAACTATTTTCTAGGCTTTGCCTACAGGGGGTTTGTGACATATCTTTGCACTGATCACCCAGTGATGTAACTCCTCTAAGCTCTTCCTTCAGGGGCCTTGTGACATTTCTCTGCCATGCTTACCCTGGGGAGAGAATTCTTGTCTACGCTCTGCCTACAGGGGTCTCTGTGACATATCACTGCACTGATCTTGAAGGTGATGTAACAGTTTTATAAGCTCTGCCTACAGAGTGTATAGTGAAATATATCTGCACTGATCACCTAGGTGATGTAACTCTTGTCTACCCTCTGCCTGCAGGGGGCATTGTGAAATATCTCTGCACTGATCAACTAGGTGACGTAACCCTTCTCTAGTCTCTGCCTACAGGGGCGTTTTGACATATCTCTGAACTGGTGACAAAGGTGATGTAACTCTTGCCTAGGCTTTGCCTGCAGGAGACATTGTGACATATCTCTGCACTGATCACACAGGTGATGTAACTCTTGTCTAGTCTTTGCCTACAGAGGGCGTTGTGGCATATCTCTGTACTGATCTCTCAGGCGAGGTAACTCTTGTCTAGTCTCTGCCTACAGAGGGCATTGTGACATCACTCTGCAATGATCACCCAGGTGATGTAACTCTTGTCTAGGCTCTGCCTACCGGGGCATTTTAACATATCACTGCACTGATCACTGAGATGATGTAACTCTTGTATATGCTTCGCTGACAGGGGGCATTGAGACATATCTCTCTGTTGATCACCGAGGTGATGCTAGTCTTGTCTAGGATCTGCCTGTAGAGGGCATTGTGAAATATCTCTGACCTGATCATCCAGGTGATGTAATTCTGGTCTAGGCTCTGCCTACTGGAGACACTGTGACTTATCTCTGCACTGATCACACAGGTGATGTAACTCTTGTCTAGTCTTTGCCTACAGAGGGCGTTGTGGCATATCTCTGCACTGATCTCTCAGGTGAGGTAACTCTTGTCTAGTCTCTGCCTGCAGAGTGAGTTGTGACATCACTCTGCAATGATCACCCAGGTGACGTAACTCTTGCCTAGGCTCTGCCTACATGGATATTGTGACATGTCTGTTCACTGATCACCCAGGTGATGTAAATTTTGTCTAGTCTCTGCCCACATGAGGATTTTGATATATCCCTGCACTGATCACCGAGATGATGTAACTCTTTTCTGGGCTTTTCTGACAGGAGGCATTGAGACATATCTCTGCACTGATCACTGAGGTGATGCAACTCTTGTGTGGGCTCAGCCTACAGGGGGCATTGTGACATACCTCGGCCCTGATCACCCAGGTGATGTAACTCTTGTCTAGGCTCAGCCTAAAGGTGGTATTGTGACATATCTCTGCACTGATAACCCAGGTGATGCAATTCTTCTCTAGGATCTGCCTACAGGGGCATTGTGACATATCTCTGCACTGATCACAAAGGTGATGTAACTCTTCTTTAGGCTCTGCCTGCAAGGTGCTTTGTGAAATCAATCTGTATTGATAATCCAGGTGATGTAACATTTGTCTAGGCTCTGCCTAAGGGGGCACTGTGACACATCTCTGCACTGATCACTGAAGTGATGTGACCCCTGTCTAAGTTCCCCCTATGGGTGCATTGTGAGATATCTCATCACTGATTCCCCAAATTATGTAACCCTTTTCTAGGGTTTGCCTAAAGGGGGATTTGCCACATATGTCTGTACTGATCACCCAGGTGGTGTAACCCTTTTCTGGGGTCTGCCTACAGGGAAGTTGTGACATATCACTGCACTGATCACCCAGGTGATGTAACTTTTCTCTGGGCTGTACTTTCATGGGTCTTTGTGACATATCTCTGCACTGACCAACTAGGTGATGTAACTCTTTTCTAGGCTTTTCCCGGAGGAGGCATTATTACATATCTCTACAATGATCACTGAGGTAGTGCAACTCTTGTCTACGCTATGCCTACAAGGGCATTGTGACATATCCCTACACTCATAACACAGGTGATGTCACTCTTGTCTAAGCTCTGCCAACCGGGGTCTTAGTGACATAACTCTGCACTGATCACTCAGATGATGGTACTCTTCTCAATACTCTGACTAGAGGAGGATTTGTGACATATCCCTGCACTGATCACCCAGGTGATCGAAGTCTTGTCTAGGCTCTGTCTAAGGGGGCATTGTGTCAAATATCTGCACTGATCACCCAGGTGATGTAACTCTTTTCTAGGCTCTGTCTACAGGGATTTTTGTGATATATCACTGCACTGATGACCTCGATGACGTAACTCTTGTCTAGGCTCTGCCTACAAGGGCATTTTGACTTATCACTGCGCTGATCACCCAGGTGATGTAACAGTTGTCTAGGCTCTGCCTATAGGGGGCATTGTGACATATCTCTACACTGATCATCCAGGTGATTTAACTTTTGTCTAGGCTTTGACTGCAGTAGTTTTTGACATATCTCTGCACTGATCACTGACGAGATGGAACACTTGTCTAGGCTCTGCCTAAATGGGCATTGTGACACATCTCTGAACTGATCAACCAAGTGATGTAACACTTGTCTAGGCTCTGCCTACAGGGCTTTGTGACATATCTCTGTACTGATCACCCAGGTAATGGGACTTGTGTCTAGGTTCTGCCAACGGGGGCATTGTGACATATCTGTAAACTGATCACCCAGGTGATGTAACCCTTGTGTTGGATTTGCCTATGGTGGCATTGCGACATATTTCTGCACTGATCACCAAGGTGATGGGACTATTTTCTAGGCTCTGCCTGTGGGGGCTTTGTGACTTATCCCTGCACTGATCACCCAGGTGATGTAACACTTGACTAGGCTCTGCCTACTGGGGCATAGTGACATATCACTGCATTGATCACTCAGATGTTGTAACTATTGTCTAGGCTCTGCTTAAAGGGGTCTTGTCACATATCTCTGCACTGATCACCCAGGTGATGAAACACTTGTCTAGGCTCTGCCTACACGGGCATTGTG
>NC_000024.10:10909101-10922486 GCF_000001405.40 Homo sapiens
TTTGTGTAGGGGGGCTTTGTGACATATCTCTGCACTGATCACACAGGTTATGTAACACTTGACTAGGTTCTGCCTACTGGGGCATTGTGAAATATCACTGCATTGTTCACTCAGATGATGTAACTATTTTCTAGACTGTCTAGGTGATGTAACAATTTTATAAGCTGAGCATATAGGGAATTTTGACAAACCTCTGCACTGATCACCTGGGTGATATACCTGTTGTATACCCTCTACCTACAGGGGGTATTGTGAAATATCTCCGCAATGATCACCTAGGTGATGTAACTGTTGTCTACCCTATGCCTACAGGGGGCATTGTGAAATATCTCTGCACTGACCACCAGGTGAGGCATCTCTTGTCTAGCATCTGCCTACATGGGATATTGTGAAATATCTCTGCACTGATCAACTAGGTGATGTAACTCTTGCCTAGGCTCTGCCTACAGGGGCTTTTTGACATATCTCTGAACTGATGGCAAAGGTGATGAAACTCTTGCCTAGGCTTTGCCTTCAGGGGACATTGTGACATATCTCTGCACTGAGCACTCACGTGATGCAACTCTTCTCTATGCTCTGCCTACAGGGGGCATTGTGACATATCTCTGCACTGATCACCCAGGTGATGTAACTCTTTTCTAATCTCTGCCTACAGAAGGCTTTGTGACATCACTCTACACGGATCACCAGGGTTATGTAACTCTTGTCTACCGTCTGCCTACAGGGGGCATTGTGAAATATCTCGCACTGATCACCCAGGTGATGCAACTCTTGTCTAGGATCTGCCTGCAGGGGTTATTGTGAAATGTCTCCGCACTGGTCAACTAGGTGATGAAACTCTTGTCTAGGCTCTGCCAACAGGGGCATTTTAACATATCACTGCACTGATAACTGAGATGATATAATTCTTTCATAGGCTTCGCCGACAGTGGGCATTGAGACATATCTCAGCGTTGATCGCCAAATGATGCAACTGTTTTCTGGGATCTGCCTAAAGGGGACATTTTGATATATCTCTGATCTGATCTCCCAGGAGATGTAACTCGTGTCTAGTCTCTGGCCACAGGGACATAGTGGCATATATCTGCACTGATCACACAGGTGATGTAATTTGTCTAGTCTTTGCCTACAGGGAGCGTTGTGAAATATCTCTGCACTGATCTCTCAGGTAAGGTAACTCTTGTCTAATCTCTGCCTACAGAGTGCTTTGTGACATCAGTCTGCAATGATCACCCAGGTGATGTAACTCTTGTCTAGGCTCTGCCAACATGGAGATTTTGACATGTCTCCGCACTGATCACATTGTGACATAGGTCGCAATGCCCCATAGGCAGATCCAACACAAGAGTTACATCACCTGGGTGATCAGTGTAGAGATATGTCACAATGCCCCCGTAGGCAGAGCCTAGAGAAAAGTCCCATCACCTTGCTGATCATTGCAGGAATATGTCACAAAGCAACCTGTAGGCAGATCCCAGACAAAAGTTATATCACCTGGGTGATCACTGCAGAGATATGTCACAATACCACCGCAGGCAGAGCCTAGGCAAGAGTTACATGCCCTAGGTGACCCGTTCAGAGATACATCACAAAGCCCCCATGCGAATAGCCTAGACAAGAGTCCTATCACCTTGGTGATCAGTGCAGAATATGTACGCAATGCACCATAGGCAGATCCAACACAAGAGTTACATCACCAGGCTGATCAGTGTAGAGATATGTCACAACTGACCCCCGTAGGCAGAGCCTAGACAAAAGTCCCATGACCTGGGTGATCAGTGCAGAGATATATCACAAAGCCCCTGTAGGCAGAGCCTAGACAAGAGTTACATAATTTGGTTGATCAGTTCAGAGATGTGTCACAATGCCCACGTAGGCAGAGCCCAGACTAGAGTTCCAACAGCTGGGTGATCAGCGGAAAGATATGTAAC
Source organism: Homo sapiens (assembly GCF_000001405.40). Taxonomy (NCBI): domain Eukaryota; kingdom Metazoa; phylum Chordata; class Mammalia; order Primates; family Hominidae; genus Homo; species Homo sapiens. The sequence continues at coordinate 10,911,033 of NC_000024.10, forward strand.
AAGACCTCTTTAAGCAGAACCTAGACAATAGTTACATCATCTGAGTGATCAGTGCAGTGATATGTCACAATGCCCCCGTCGGCAGAGCCTAGACAAAAGTCCCATCACTTGGGTGGTCATTTCAGGGACATGTCACAAAGCCCCTGTAGGCAGAGCCTAGACAAGAGTTACATCATTTGGTAGATCAGTTCAGAGATGTGTCACAATGCCCATGTAGGCAGAACCTAGACAAGTGTTACATCACCTGTGTGATCAGTGCAGAGATATGTCACAAAACCCCTGCAGGCAAAGCCTAGACAAGAGTCGCATAACCTGGATGATCAGTGCAGAGTTATGTCACAAAGTCCCTTTAGGCAGATCCTAGGCAAGAGTTACATCAGCAGGGTGATCACTGTAGAGATATGTCTCTCTGCCACTTTAGGTGGAGCCTAAATAAGAGTTACATGACCTAGGTGATCAGTGCAGAGATACATCGCAATACCCCTGTAGGCAGAGCCTTAACAAATGGTATATCACCTGGGTGATTATTGCAGGGATATGTAAAAAAGCACCCTGTAGGCAGATCCCAGACAAGAGTTGCATCACCTCGGTGATCAGTCCAAAGATATGTCTCAATGTCCCCTGTCAGCGAAGCCTATACAAGAGTTACATCATCTCGGTGATCAGTGCAGTGATATGTTAACATGCCCATGTAGGCAGAGCATAGAAAAGAGTTACATCACCTGGGTGATCCGTGCCGAGATATCTCACAATACCCCCTGTAAGCAGAGCCTAGACAAGAGTTACACCAACGGGGTGATCAGTGCAGGTAGATGTCATAAATCCCACTGTAGGCAAAGCCTAGACAAGTGTTACATCACCTCAGTGATCAGTAAAGATATATGTCCCATGCCCCTGTAGGCAGAGCTTAGTCAAGAGTCACATCTCCTTGGTGATCATTGCAGAGATACGTCACAATGTCCCCATAGGCAGAGCCTAGACAAGAGTTACATAACCTGTGTGATCCACGCAGAGTGATGTCACAATGCCCTCTGTAAGCAGAGACTAGAAAAGAGTTACATCACCTGGGTGATCAGTGCACAGATATGTCACAATTTCCCCAGTAGGCAGAGCCTACACAAGTGTTACATCACTTTGGTGATCAGTGTAGAGATATGTCACAATACCCCCTGTAGGCAGAGCCTAGACAAGAGTTACATCACCTGGGTGATCAATGCAGAGATATGTGACAAGGCCCCATTAAGCAGAGCCTACACAATAGTTACATCTTCTGAGTGATCAGTGCAGAGATCTGTCACAGTGCCCCTTTAGGCAGAGCTTAGACCATAGTTACATCATTTGGGTGATAAGTGCAGAGACAGATCAGAATGCCCCATAAGCAGATCCAAGAAAAGAGTCCGTCACCTGGGTGATCAGTGCAGAAATATGTGACCATGCCACCAGTAGGCAGAGCCTAGAGAAGAGTCCCATCACCTGGCTGATGAGTGCAGAGTTATGCCCCAATGCCCCCTGTAGGCAGAGCCTAGACAATGGTTACATCACCTGGTTGATCAGTAAAGAGATATTTCACAATGCCCCTGCAGGCAGAGAGTAAGCAAGAGTTGCATCACTTAGATGATCAGTGCAGAGATGTGTCACAAGGCCCCCTATAGGCAGAGCTTGGACAAGAGTTACATCACCTCGGTGATCAATGCAGTCGTATGTCACTATGCCCCAGTAGGCAGAGCTTATTCAAGCGTTACATCACCTGGGTGATCAGTGCAGAGATATGTCACAAAGCCCCCATAAACAGAGCCTAGACAAGCGTCCCATTAGCTGGGTGATCAGTGCAGAAATATGTCACAATGTCCCCATAGGCAAAGCCTAGACAAAAGTCCCATCACCTGGATGATCAGTACAGAGATATGTCAGAAAACCCCTGTAGACAGAGCCTAGAGAAGAATTACATCACTTGGTTGATCAGTTCAGAGATGTGTCACATTGCCCACGTAGGCAGCGCCTACACACGTTTTCCATCACCTCGGTGATCAGTGCAGAGATATGTCACAAAAACCCTGCAGGCAAAGCCTAGAAAAGGGTTACATCACCTGCTTGATCAGTGCAGATATATGTCAGAAAGCCCCCATACACGGAGCCTAGATAAGAGTCCCTTCTCCTGGATGTTTAGTGCAAAAATATGTCGCAATGCCCCATAGGCAGATACAACACAAGAGATACATCACCTGGGTGATCAGGGTAGAGATATGTCACAATGCCCCCGTAGGCAGAGCCTAGACAAAAGTCCCTTCAAATGGGTGATCAGTGCAGAGATATGTCACAAAGCCCCTGTAGGCAGATCCTAGACAAGGGTTACATCACTTTGTTGATCAGTTCAGAGAGGTGTCACAAGTGCCCATGTAGGCAGAACACAGATAAATGTTCCATCAGCGGCGTGATCAGTGAAGAGATATGTGACAAGGCCCCTTAAGCAGAACCTAGACAATAGTTACATCATCTGAGTGATCAATGCAATGATATGTCACTATGCCCCAGTAGGCAGAGCCTAGTCAAGCTTTACATCACCTGGGTTATCAGTGCAGAGTTATGACACAATGCCCACTGTAGGGAGAGCCCAGGCAATATTTACATCACCTGATTGATCAGTAAAGAGATGTTTCACAATGCCCCTGCAGGCGGAGCGTAAGCAAGAGTTACATCACCTTGATGATCAGTGCAGAGATATGTCAAAAGGTCCCCTGTAGGCAAAGCCTGGACAAGAGTTACATCACCTCGGTGATCAATGCAGTGATATGTCACTATGCCCCAGTAGGCAGAGCCTAGTCAAGCATTACATCACCTGGGTGATCAGTGCAGTGATATGTCAAAAAGTCCCCAGACACACAGCCTAGACAAGAGTCCCATCACCCTTGTGATCAGTGATATGTCAGCACTGATCACCCAGGTGATGTACATTTTGTCTAGGCTATGCCCACAGGGGCATTTTGACATATCTCTGCACTGATCACCGAGATGATGTAACTCTTGTCTCGGCTTTGCCAATAGGAGGCATTGAGATATATCTCTGCATTGATCTCCGAAGTGATGCAACTCTTGCCTGGACTCTGCCTACAGGGGCCATTGTGACATATCTCTGCCGTGATCACCCAGGTGATGTAACTCTTGTCTAGGCTCTGCCTAAAGGGGGTATTGTGACATATCTCTGCACTGATCACCTAGGTGCTGTAACTCTTTTCTAGGCTTTTCCTACAGGGGCATTTTGACATATCAGTGAAGTGATCACCATGGTGACGTAAGTCTCATCTAGGATCAATACAGAGTAATGTCACAAAGCACCTTGCATGCAGAGCCTAGAGAAGAGTTACATTACCTGCATAACTCTGCACTGATCACCCAGGTGATGGGACTCTTCTCTAGGCTATGCCAGCTGTGGGCATTGTCACATATTTCTGCACTGATCACTGAGGTGACGGACTCTTGTCTTGGATCTGACTATGGGGGCATTATGACATATCTGTGCACTGATCACCCAGGTGATGTAACTCTGGTCTAAGCTCTGCCTAAAGGGGCATTGTGACAGATCTCTGCACAGATCACTCAGGTGATTTAACTATTTTCCAGGTTCTGCTTAAAGGGGCCTTGTCACATATCTCTGCACTGATCACCCTGGTGATGTAACTCTTGTCTAGACTCTGCTTACAGGGGGTATTGTGACATATCTCTGCACTGATTACCTACTTGATGTAACACTTGTGTAGGCTCTGCCTACAGGGGCTTTTTGACATCTCTCTGCACTGTTAACCGAGGTGATGTAACTCTTGTCTAGGCTGTGCCCACAGGGGGATTGAGACATATCTCTGCACTGATCCTGAGGTGATCCAACTCTTGTCCGGGCTCTGCCTATTGGAGACATAGTGACATACCTCTGCAGTGATCTCCCAGGTGATCTATCTTTTGTCAAGGTTCTGGCTACATGGCTTTGTGACATATCACTGCACTGATCTCCCAGGTGATATAACTCTTGTCTATGCTGTGCCTACCGGGGACTTGTGACATATCTCTGCACTGAACACCTAGGGGATGTAACTATTGTCTAGGGTCTGCCTACAGTGTGCTTTGTGACATATCCCTGCAATGATCACCCAGGTGATGTAACACTTGTCAACGCTCTCCCTACAGGGGCATTGCGATGTATATCTGAACTGATCACCTAGGTCAAGTAACTCTTGTCGAGGCTCTGCCTGCAGTGACATTGTGACATATCTCTGCACTGATCACACAGGTGATGTAACACTTGACTACGATTTGCCTACAGGGTGCTTTGTGACATATCCCTGAAATGATCACCCACGTGGTGTACGACTTTTCAAGGCTCTGCCAGAGGGGCATGTGATCTATCTCTGTGCTGATTACCTAGGTCATGTAATTCTTTTTTAGGCTCTGCCTACAGTGGCATTGTGACATTTCTCTGCACTGATCACCGAGGTGATGGAACTCTTGTCTAGGATCTGCCTGAAGGGACTTTGTGTCATAACTCTTCACTGATCATCCAGGTGATAGGGCTTTTGTCTAGGTTCTGCCTACAGGGGTATTGTGACTTATTTCTGCACTGATCACCAAGGTGACAGACTCTTCCTGTATCTGCCTATGGGGGCATTGTGACATATCTCCTCACTGATCACCCAAGTGATGTAACTGTTTCATAAGCTCTGCCTACAAGGGAATTGTGAGCTCTCTCCACTGATCCCGAAAGTGATGTAATTATTGTCTAGTCTTTGCCTACAGGGGACTTTGTGACATATCTTTGCACTGATCACTCAGGTGATGTAACACATCTAAGCTCTGCCTACTGGGACATTGTGACATATCTCTGCACTGATCACCCCGTTGATGCAACTCTTCTCTATGCTCTGCCTACAGGGGCATTGTGACATATCACTGAACTGATAACCCTGGTGATGTACCTCTTTTCTAGTCTCTGCTTACAGAGGGTGTTGTGACATCACTCTGCACGGATCACCCGGGTCATATAACTCTTGTCTAGGCTCTGCATATGGGGGCTTTGTGACGTATCTCTGCAATGATCACCCAGGAGTTGTGACTATTGTCTAAGCTCTGCCTACAGGGAGACTGGGACATATCTCTGCAATGATCACTGAGGTGATGTATCACTTGTCTAGGCTTTGCCTACAGTGGGATTTATGACATATCTCTGCACTGCTCACCCAGTTGATGTAACTCTTGTCTAGACTCTGCTTACAGTGGGTATTGTGAGATATCTCTGCACTGACCACCCAGGTGATGTAACTCTTGTCTGGGCTCTGCCTACAGGGTCATTTTAACATAGCACTGCACTGATCACCTAGATAATGTAACTCTTGTATAGGCTTTGCCGAAAGAGGCATTGAGACATATCTCTGCACTTATCACCGAGGTGATACAACTCTTGTCTGGGATCTGCCTGCAGGAGACATTTTTACATATCTCTGAAATGATCATCGAGGTGATGTTACTCTTGTCTAGGCTCTGCCTACTGGAGACATTGTGACTTATCTCTGCACTGATCACCCAGGTGATGTAACTCTTGTCTAGAGTCTGGCCACAGGGACAGAGTGACATATATCTGCACTGATCACACAGGTGATGTACTTCTTGTAAAGTCTTTGCCTACAGGGGGTGTTGTGACATATCTCTGCACTGATCTCTGAGGGGAGGTAACTCTTGTCTAGTCTCTGTCTACAGAGGGCGTTGTGACATCACTCTGCAATGATCACCTTGTTGATGTAACTCTTGTCTAGGCTCTGCCTACATGGACATTATGACATATTTCTGCACTGATCACCGCGGTGATGTAGATTTTGTCTAGGCTCTGCCCACAGGGGCATTTTGACATAACTATGCACTGATCACCGAGGTGATGCAACTCTTCTCAAGGCTCTACCTACACGGGGCATTGTGACATATCTCTGCACTGATCTTGCAGGTGATGTAACTCTTCTCTAGGCTCTGCCTGCAAGGTGCTTTGTGACATCACTGTATTGATCATTAAGGTGATGTAACTTTTGTCTAGGCTCTGCCTATGGGGGAATTGTGACACATCTCTGCACTGATCACTGAGGTGATGTGACCCCTCTCTAAGCTCTCCCTATGGGTGCATTTTGAGATATCTCTGCAATGATTCCCCAGATGATGTAACTTTTCTCTAGGCTTTGCCTAAAGCTGGATTTGCCGCATGTCTCTGTACTGATCACCCAGCTGATGTAACACTTTTCTAGCCTCTACCTACAGGGGAATTTTAACATATCACTGCACTGATCACCGAGATGTTGTAACTCTTGTATAGGCTTTGCCAACAGTGGGCTTTGAGACATATTTCTGTACTGATCACCGAGGTGATGCAACTCCTGTCTGGGACCTGCCTACAGGGGGCATTTTGACAGATCTCTGCCCTGATCACCCAGGTGATGTAACTCTTCTGTAGGGTCTGCCTCCAGGGGTTATTGTGACATATCTCTGCACTGATCACGCAGGTGAGGTAACTCTTCTCTAGGCTCTGCCTACAAGGTGCTTTGTGACTTCACTCCTTATTAAACATCCAGGTGAAGTAACTTTTGTCTAGGCTCTGCCTAAGGGGGCTTTGTGACCCATCTCTGCACTGATCATTCAGGTGATGTGACCCCTGTCTAAGCTCTCCCTATGGGTGCATTTTGAGATATCTCTGTACTGATTCCCCAGATGATGTAACTCTTTTCAAGGCTTTGCCTAAGGGGGATTTGCCACATATCTCTGTACTGATCACCTAGGTGATATAATACTTTCCTAGGTTCTTCCTACAGCGGAATTGTGACATATCACTGCACTGATCACCCAGATGATGTAACTCTTCTGTAGGCTGTACTTTCAGGGGGCTTTGTGACATACCTCTTCACTGATCAACTAGGTGATGTAACTCTTTTCTAGGCTTTGCCCAGAGGGGGCATTGTAACATATCTCTGCACTGATCACCCAGGTGATGTAACTCTTGTCCAGGCTCTGCCAATAGGTGCCCTTGTGACATATCTCTGCACTGATCATCTAGGTGATGTAACACTTGCTTACGCTCTGCCTGCTGGGGCATTGTGAAATATCCCTTTACTGATCAACCAGATGATGTACCTCTTGTCTAGGCTGTGCTTACATGGGGCATTGTGGCATAACTGCACTGATCACTCAGGTGATGGGACTTTTCTTTAGGCTCTGACTACTAGAGGCATTGTCACATATTTCTGCACTGATCACCGAAGTGATGGACTCTTGTCTTGTATCTGCCTATGGGGGGCATTGTGACATATCTCTGCGCTGATCACCCAGGCGATGTAACTCTGGTCTAAGCTCTGCCTAAAGAGGCATTGTGACAGATCTCTGCACTGGTCACTCAGGTGATGTAATTATTTTCTAGGCTCTGCTTAAGGGGTCTTGTCACATATCTCTGCACTGATCACCCAGGTGATGTAATTCTTGTCTAGGCTTGGCTTACAGGGGATATTGTGACATATCTCTCCACTGATCACCTAAGTAATGTAATACTTGTGTACGCTCTGCCTACAGTGGCATTTTGACATATCTCTGCACTGTTAACTGAAGCGATGTAACTCTTGTATAGGCTTCACTGACAAGTGGCATTGAGACTTATGTCTGCATTGATCACCTAGGTGATGCAGCTCTTGTATGGGATCTGCCTACAGGGGGCATTGTGACTTATCTCTGATGTGATCACCCAAGTGATGTAACTCTTGTCTTGGCTCTGCCTACTGGAGACATTGTGACTTATCTATGTACTGATCACCCAGGTGATTTAACTCTTGTCTAGGCTCTGGCCACAGGGACAAAGTGACATATATCTGCCCTGATCACACAACTGAAGTAACTCTTTTCTAGTCTTCGCCTACATAGGGTGTTGTGACATATCTCTGCACTGATCTCTCAGGTGAGGTAACTCTTGTCTAGTCTCTACCTACAGAGGGCTTGTGACATCACTGTGCAATGCTCACCCAGGTAATGTAACTCTTGTCTAGCCTCTGCCGACATGGAGATTTTGAGATGTCTCTGCACTGATCACCCAGGTGATGTAAATTTTGTCTAGCCTCTGCCCACAGGGGCATTTTGACATATCTCTGCACTGATCACAGAGATGATGTATCTCTTGTCTGGGCTTTGCCAACAGGAGGCATTGAGACATAGCTCTGCACTGATCACCAAGGTGATGCAACTCTTGTCTGGGCTATGCCTACTTAGGGCATTGTGACATATCTCTGCCCTGATCACCCAGGTGATGTAACTCTTGTCTAGGCTCTGCCAAAAGGGGGTATTGTGAAATATGCCTGCACTGATCACCTAGGTGATGTAACTCAATTCTAGGCTCTGCCTGCAGGGGCGTTTTGACATATCTCTGAAGTGATCACCGAGGTGATGTAACTCTTGTCTAGGGTTTGCCTACAGGGGGCATTGTAATATATCTCTGGACTTATCACCCAGGTGATGCAACTCTTCTCTAGGCTCTGCCTACAGGGGGCATTGTGACATATCTCTGCACTGATCACGCAGGTGATGTAACTCTTCTCCAGTCTGTACTTTCACGGGGCTTTGTGACATACCTCTGCACTGATAACCTAGGCGTTGTAACTCTTTTCTAGGCTTTGTCCAGAGGTGGCATTTTTACATATCTCTCTGCACGGAGCATTAAGATAATGCAACTCTTGTCTATGCTCTGCCTACAGGAGCATTGGGAAATATCATTACACTGATCACACAGGTGATGGTACTCTTGTCTAAGCTCTGCCTAAAGGGGTCTTTGTGACATATCTCTGCACTGTTCACTCAGGTGATGGGACTCTTCTCTATATTCTGCCTAGAGGGGGATTTGTGACATATCTCTACACTTATCACGCAGGTGATGGAAGACTTGTCTAGGCTCTGTCTGTTGGGGTATTGTGTCAGATATCTGCACTGATCACTCAGGTGATGTAACTCTTGTCTGAGCTCTGCCTACAGAGATTTTTGTGACATATCACCACACTGATCACCTAGATGATGGAACTCTTGACTAGGCTCTTCCTACAGGGACATTTGGATGTATCACTGCACTGATCACCCAGGTGATGTAACTCTTTTGTAGCCTCTGCCTATAGGGGCATTGTGACATATCTCTGCACTGATCAATCAGGTGATGTAACTTTTGTCTAGGCTTTGACTGCAGGGTTTTTTTTGACATATCTCCTCACCGATCACCCAGGTGATGGAATATTTTACTAGGCTCTGCCTACATGGGCATTGTGACACATCTCTGAACTGATCAACCTAGTGATGTTAACTCTTCTTTAGGCTCTGCCTATTGGGTCTTCGTGACATATCTCTGCACTGATCACCCAAGAGGTGGGACCTTTGTCTAGGCTGTGCCTATGGGGGCATTGTGACATATCTTTACACTGATCACCCAGGTTATGTAACACTTGTGTGGGATCAACCTCTGGGAGCATTGTGGCATATTTCTGTACTGATCACCCAGGTGATGGGACGCTTTCCTAGGCTCTGTATATGGGGGCTTTGTGACATATCTCTGCTCTGATCACTCAGGTGATGTAACGCTTGACTAGGCTCTGCCTATTGGGGCAAAGTGACATGTCACTGCATTAATCACTCAGATGATGTAACTATTGTCTAGCCTCTGTTTAAGGAGACTTGTCACATATCTCTGCACTGATTACACAGCTGATGGAACACTTGTCTAGGCTCTGCCTACATGGGCATTGTGACACATCCCTGAGCTGATCAACCAAGTGATGTAACAATTGCCTAGGCTCTGCCTACAGTGGCATTGTGACATATCTCTGCACTAATCACCCAGGTGATGTAACTCTTGTATAGGATCACTCCACTCCACGCCATTCTGCTCCACTCCACTCCAGTCCAGTCGACTCCACTGAATTCCATTCCACTCCCCGCCATTCCACTCAACTCGATTCCACTCCAGTCCAGTATATTCCACTCCACTCCACTCCATTCCACTTCACTCCATTCCATTTCACAGCACCTCATTCCATTCCACTCCACTCCATTCCATTCCATTCCATTCCATTCCATTCCATTCCATTCCATTCCATTCCATTCCTTTCCATTATACTCCGTTCCATTCCATTCCACTCAATTCCACTCAACTCCTTTCCACTCCACTCCATTCCATTCTATTCCATTCCATTCCATTCCATACCACTATAATCCATTCCACTTCATTATTTTCCATTCAACTGCATTCCATTCCACTCCACTCCACTTCAATCCACTACATTCCATTCCACTCCACCCCCCTCCAATGCACTCCACTCCACTCCACTAAATTCCATTCCACTCCATTCCATTCCACTACATTCCCTTCCAGTCCACTCCATTCCACACCACTCCATTCCACTCAACTCCATTCCATTCCACACCATTCCAATCCATTCCATTCCATTCCATTCCATCCCATTCTATTCCATTCCATTCCATTACACTCCATTCCATTCAATTCCATTCTATTGCACTCCATTCCACTATCCGTCATTCCACTCCACTCCATTCCAATCCACTCCACTCCATTCCATTCTACTCCATTCCATTTCATTCTACGCCATTCCATTCAATTGCTTTATTTCGATTAGATCTCACTCAGTCACCCAGACTGGAGTGCACTGGCACAATCTTAGCTCACATGTCATTTCATCATTCAATTCCATTCCATATCATTCCATTCCACACCATTCCATTCAATTCCACTCCACTCCACACCATTCAACTCTATTCAATTCCATTCCACTCTTTTTCATTCCATTCCATTCCATTCCACTGCACTCCGATCCACTCCACTCAACTCTGCTCAACTCCAATCGACTCCCGTTCATTCCTTTCCATTCCATTCTAATCCATTCAATTCCACTCCACTCCAATCCACTCTACTGCACTCCACTCCACTCCATTCCATAACATTCCACTGCACTCTGATTAACTACACGCCATTCCACTGCACTCTGATTAACTACACGCAACTCCACTCCACTCCTGTCCACTCCACTCCATTCCATTCCACTCCACTCCATTCCATTCCATGCCACCTCATTCCATTCCACTCCACCTCATTCCATTCCACTCCACTCCATTTCATTCCATTCCATTCCATTCCATACCACTACAATCCATTCCACTTCATTCCATTCCATTCAACTGCATTCCATTCCACTCCACTCCACTCCACTCCCACTCCATTCCATTCCACTCCACTCTCCTCCACTTCAATCCACTCCACTCCACTAAATTCCATTCTACTCCATTCCACTCCATTCCACTCCAGTCCACTCCACTCCACACCACTCCATTCCACTCGACTCCATTCCATTCCAAACCATTCCACTCCATTCCACTCCATGCCATTCCATTCCATTCCTT